>NC_000001.11:238911394-239062909 GCF_000001405.40 Homo sapiens
TGTTTACTGATTAGAGAATTAGAAAAGGACATGGTTCTTATAAGATCATACCGTTTAAGTATTCTGATCACTCAGTCTACATATATATCTTACAGGGAAACAACGCAATGGCTCCACCAAAATCACTTTTATGAGATTTTAGAGTCACTAAGCGTGTTTAAAAATAATCTAGGTCAGCAATTGTGTTCAACTATAGAAACAGACTTGGCCTCTTCTTGGAAGAATCAATTACAGTTGCCACTCTGATTTTATTGTCTCTCATTTGCCCTTTCCCTCATTACATTGTGTGGATCCTTGTCATTTGGCCACATCTGTTTGCGAGAAGGTCATGGAGTCAATGTCTTGCATGATCATCAGCATTTGACATCATTAATGTCACTTTGATGCTTCTTCAATCTATCCTGTGATTGCTATTCAACACTCTTCTTACCTCTTCTTGGGGTGTACACTTTCCATTAACAAAATTTTTCAACTAGTCTCTATTTATTAACAGCTTCTAATTCACGTGTCCATGCATAACTTTATCCTTGATACATAATCCTTTGTAATTAACTGACTACTAGACATATTTTTGTTGTTTATGCTATTTTGGTTTATAGCCACAACATTCTTGATAGATCTTTTATCTCATCAACTTAACTCCTTTATTTATTTGAAGGTAATCCCCATTGCCCATTTGTGTCAGAAGCCTTGTTTTTCCTTATTCTACCAGTTACCTACTCTTATTCCTAAAATCTAGGTGGTTTATAAGGCATGCCAATTATTTCCCCTTGAATCTCTGGAACTTCATCTCCCCAAACATTACTGTCACTGTAATAGGAGTAGACTAGCGTTCATAAATATTTTTACAATTTCCTACCAAAGCTTGTTTTTGGTCTTCCTTGATAAATCATATAAGTTTACTAATTTTTCTCCATATTTCAGTAGAATGACTTTTTTCAAAGTCTAATTATGATGACACTGCTTAAAATCCATATTGCCTCCCCAAAACCTTAAAGACAAAATAAAAATCATTTAGCATGGTGCTCTAGAGCCTTCAAGATCTAATTTCTGGCTAAGTTTAACAATAACAACTAAAAGTCCCATTGTTTACTTCACTACTGTCTAGTGAAGGTAGTGACAATTTGCAGAAACTTAAAGCAATTACCATCCACCATACTATGAACTAATCTCCAGATTATTCTGGCTGCTGTAACAAAATACTAGGTGTCTTATAAACAACAGAATTTTATTGCTGAAATCTGTCAGCACCTTACACCAGAACTGTATGTCCTGGAGGCTGAGAAGTACAAGACCAAGGTGCTGACAGATTCAATATCTGGTCAGGACCCCCTTTCTGGTTCATAGATAACCATCTTTTTGCTGTGTCCTCAAGTGGTGGAAGGGGTGAGAAATCCCATTTATGAGGGCTCTGCCCTCATGACCTACTCACTTCCCAAAGCCTACTTCCTAATACTGTCACCTTGAGAGTTAAGATTTTAATATATGAATTTGGAGGGAGCACAAATATTCAGACCATACCAAGATCTTATTCAGATTTCACCACTTTTTTCTCCTAATGTATTGTTTCTTTTTTTCTATTCTAGTACCCAATTCAGCATTCCACATTGCTTCAATCTGTGGCAGCTCCCCCAGATTTTCTTGTCTTTCATGACCTTGACAATTTTGATGAGTATTCATTAGTCATTTTGTGTAATCTCTCTCAATTTGAGTATGATGTTGGTTATATCTTTTCTTGAAATACAAAATTAATTTGTCTCCATTTTTAGACACACTCAGTAATCACAAAATATACTGAATGAACTAAGTACTCATATTTCCAAATTCCCTGATTTTTCCAACTGTGTGTACATTATAATACCAATTATTCGAAATGTAAAAGTACATAGAATTTTTATACATACACATTAAAATCTTAAAGAAAATCTACCAAGGTTTTGAGTGGGTATTTCTTATAAATTTTTAAATTATAGTCATTATTCCCTTATTGTTTCTATACAATATGACTGTTGAAAAGATTGTGCAATCTTTTTATAACCTGTCAAAAAAAGAACAATTTAAAAATATATTGCCAAGTCTCCATTGTATCCCACACACCTGTGACGTTCAACATTGTAGCTACTAGACACATGAGCCTTCTTTCTCTTCCTTCCTTCCTTCCTTCTCTCTCTTTTCTTTCTTTCTTTTTCTTTCTTTCTTTTTCTTCTCTTTCTCTATTTGCTTTTTCTTCTCTATTTTCTTTTTCTTCTCTATTTTTTCTTTAAATTTAAATTAATTAAAGTTAAAAACTGAGTTCTTTAGTTGTACTAGCCACATTTCAAGGGCTCAAGAGCTACATGAAGCTAGTAGCCACCAAACTGGACAGTAGAGATTGTAGATCACGTATGTCATCACGGGAGATCCTACCGGGCAGTACTATTCCTACGTCAGGATTACTGGAGACAGTTTTTGCATATTCTCATAGACCTACATCCCGGGTTGACTTCACAAATTAGGAGAAAATGTTAAGTTTTGTTACCTATTGTGAATCTCTAAACTGAAAATTATTCTAGTTAGTTTTGTTATTTGTAAGTATAATTTAGTCAGCAGCCCTTGTCTGTCTTTAGCCAATAGTAGCAGAAAATATGTGTTGTCCCCGCATGTGTATGTGGGCACACTCATATGCAGACGTTACTATTCTATGCACTTGACATTAATTATCTTGTAAAATTGTCACACCATAAATTACATATGAACATATCTTCATTTACACAAGGGGAAACTGAAGCAAAGAACTTCCCAGAGTCATAAAAACACTAAATGGCGTACCCAAGATTTGCCCATTGTCTTTGCCACTTCTCCATGCTATATTACCCTGTTGGTCTTTCTCTTTCTTTTTTCTTTTTTCTTTTCTTTCTTTCTCTTTCTTTCTTTCTTTCTTTCTTTCTTTCTTTCTTTCTTTCTTTCTTTCTTTCTTTCTTTCTTTTTCTTTCTCCTTCCTTCCCTGCCTCCCTCCCTCATTTCTTTCTCTTTCTTTCTTTCTTCTTTCTTTCTCTTTTTCTTCTTTCTTTCTTTTCTTTCTTGTTTTTCTTTCTTTTCTTTCTTGTTTTTTCTTTCTCGCTTTTTCTTCTCTATTTCTTTTCTTTCTTTCTTTTTCTTTTCTCTTTTTCTTCTCTTTCCTTCCTTCCTTCCTTCCTCTTTTTTTCTTCCTTTTTCTTTCTTTCTTTCTGTCTTTCCCTTTCTCTTGCTTTCTTTTTGTCTTTCAGTCTTTCTTGCTCCTCTCTCTCTCTCCCCCTCACTCTCCCTCAATCTGTCTCTCTTTATTTATCTTTTCTTCCTTACTTCTTTTTTTTTTTTCTAAATTGAATTGCTATTTCAAATTTCTGTGTATCTTCTGGGAAATTTTCTAAAACAAACATCAGAAATAATATATTTGATTTTTCATCGGGAGATGTAGTAATCAATAAACATTAAAGTTGTCAGTTATCACATTCCATTTTCTAAGAAATAATTTTTAAGTTTAGTACTATAAGACAACTATGCACTTAATTTTAATAGAATCTCAGAAGGTCCCGAGAAATTAACTTTTGAGCAGGTATTGAGATTGTTTACGTAAGTGCTGAAGATCACTTCAAAATAGTTTTCAAGAGAAGTAAAAAATAAAAAGATATTTTTCTCCCTGACTAAAAAGGAAGTAGAGAATAAGGCTTCATTCTAACCCCGAAGGAAAGGTTGTGACTTTTTAGATATTTGAGTTTATGGTTATTTCTTTAATGCATGAAAATGCATTCTTGTATTTCAGATATTGGCTTGATCTGAGCATTACCCAAAGTTAAGGTGACTTTCAGGTCATTTATTTACAGTATCCAACTAGACCTTGGAAGGAAAATGTCACTGACTTATCTGCAATGTTCATTTAATGAAAGCAATGTTAGGGATCTGTGAATTGGAAAAAGATGACTAATATTAATGATGATTCACATTACTGCATATGGTAAGATTTTAAAGCAATGATAGATTAATATTTAAAAATCCCCATATCAAAATTTTCATTTCATTAAAGCTGTAGACCTTTCAAACACTCAAAATTACTTCAGTATAGTTTCTGTCTGATGCTCTTTATATTAGGTATTTGAACCAACCATAAGTGTTTATATTCAAAAATGTTAATTTCATCAGTTTTGGTGGGTATTTCTTAATTCACAATTCTCCATCTCCAGGAAATTAGGATGACACTTTCCCTCTCTCTCCTGTTCTGCACTTTATTTGCACTTTGCTTACTTTGTAAATGTCCTTCTCTAGTCCCCTCTTCTATGCTAGTGATTTATTTTCTCTTTTCTCCAATTAACCTCCTGATAAACTGTAAGTGTCTAACAGTTATCTTACAACCACTCCACTTAGCTTGCTGCTATATACTCTGCTTTTTGCCAACAACTAATGGCCTTCACTTCCTCCTATTCTTCCCACGACCCCTCCTTTTTAAAGTAATCTAGGAGACATAAAGTACTTGGTCAGACTTTTAAACCAGGACATCAATTTTTAGGCAGTCAATAATGAAACAGGCTGACTCTGCATGGAAACCATAAAGAACTTCTCTGCTGACTCTTGCCCAGCTCATCTACATTTGTGAATGACGACACATTTTTTATATCATTTTCTTGGAGGGGAGCACAGTAACATTGACATTCCACTTTTTATGTGACAGAATTCAGTGTTATATAAGCTATATAATAAGTAGTAATTTTATTATTACCTTCTGTGACCCTCTCCTTCAACCCTCTCACTCCACAAAAACAAATAATATTTAACCATTAGTGTTCGAATTGCTGCACAAGTTAATTGGAAGTATAACTTTTCATCAATATAAACATTTCTATTACACTTTACTGTTTCTCAATTTCAGAATACTTGTAAAAAGTATAATTTGCTATTTCAGATGCTAAGAGGGATTTTAAACCTAGACTATAAATATCTATGATAATATGCGTCACTTCTGAAGTTGTAAATATTTTATAAATTACTCCTTAATTAAAATAATTAGAGATAACACAATGCCCCCAAATAGTCTGTCAGTTATGCCATGGAATTTGTGACAAACACATTGTAGATGTCAATGTTTTGTTAAGATCAGTATTCTTCCTCAAGAATCACAGGTTCTTTGCATTATCCCTACCAGACCATTAATAATCTGAAGTTTTTATAAATCCTTACAATTTTTATTATATTTTCTTTGCTTAATCATTGTGAATTAAAATATTAACATTCTTTCCCTCTCAGTTTTCACCAAATGTTGAAGCCCTGGATTCAAGTTTTTAAACCATTAAATTTTCAATCTTTCTGCCTCTTATTAAGCATGCAGCTTAGTCATTGCTATAGTCATTCGGTACAGGAAAAAAACTGAGCATGTTATAGTTTGGAATATATTGGAACTATCATTCCAGGCTTTTATCAAGGAGGTTATGTTGAATAACACTCTTCTTTTCTAAAAAAAGAAAAAAATTAACTAACAAAGAAAGATTGTATACATTTAAGGTGTACAAAATGATGATTTGGTATACATGTACATTCTGTGGTTATTATCACAATCAAATTAGTAAACACATTCATCACCACCCACGCTGTACATTAGATTCTCAGAACTTGTTGATCTTATGACTCAAAGTTTGATCAAAATCTCCCCAATTTTTCCACTTCCCACACCCTGGCAACCGCTGTTCTACTCTCTATTGCTATGAGTTTAACTACTGTGAATTCCGTATATAAGTAAGATCATGCAGTATTTGTGTCTCTGTGTCTGGCTTATCTGACATAGCATAACGTTCTCCAGGTTCATCCATGTCTTCACAACTGACAAGATTTTCTTCTTTTTTAAGGTAGAATAGTATTCCATTGTGTATATAGATCACATTTATCCACCCATGGAAACTTAGGTTGATTTGTATCTTTGCTATTGTGAATAATACTGCAATGTCATCTTTCTTTGCTTTTCTGGATGCTGTGCTCCTCTTTGGGTGACATTTGAAGTATATTTCTTTGCAGAAGAATAGTACGTTTTTAGAATTTTTAGAGTGTAAGTCTGATACTCATTTCTATTTATGGTACCTTAATTTGACTTAAAAAATGTGCGTGTGTGTGCATGCATGCACTATAAAACTAGAGGTATGTTCAGAACAGAATATTCTACTAAAAAGAAGTATTTGGAATACGCTATCACTCTTAATTTTTAATAAGATGTTTTAAGCTTGTGACAGTGTAAAAATCAGATTAAACTCATTAATGCCAAGATAATACAAGTAAATTCACATATACAATAATTATTCTGTTCATAGCTATTAAGGACTAGTTGTGAATAACCTCATGTTTTCTTTTCACCTTTTCTGACATCATCAAAAACATGAAATACTGAGGGATTATTTAACAAAATATATACAAAATCACAAAAAAGCACAATAAAGACTATAAATTGTTGCTAAGAGAAATTAAAGATGACCTAAATAAATAGAGATATATAGCATGCTTCTAGTTTGGAAAATGTTAGGATATCATTTGTCCCTCTATTTATGTATGGATTCGATGCAATTCCAATCAAAATCCCAGTAGTATTTTTTAAATGATAAATTGGCCTTAAATAATATGTACGGATATAAAGGACATAAAATAGCCAAAACAATTTTGCAACAGTAAAACAAGTTTAGAAACATTAGCCTTATACTACCTTATATCAGAATTTAACAAACTACAGTAATAAAGGCAGCTAGGTTTCTAATATCAATGGATTAGAATAAATCTAAAATGTGAACCAGACATACATGGATGATTGATTTTTAACAAAGGTGTCATCAGAGTAACTCAATGGAGAAACAAAAGCTTTCCCAACAAATTGTGCCAGAACAACTGGATATCATTTGGGAGGAAACAAGTGAAGTACTATTTTTTCCTTCACGTCATACCAAAAAAAAAAAAAAACTAAACTAAAAGTAGATCTTAAAACTAAACCTAAAATATATATCAATAAAGCAATTAGATGGAAATATAGGGGATATTTTTAAAATTTGAGATGGGTAGAGACATCTTAGTTGGACACTAAAAGGAACAGAAATAATAAATTACACTTTATCAATAATAATAACTTTTCAAGAGCAAAATGTAAACAGGCATGCTACAGAAAGGAGAAGATATTTCAATACGTACATCTGACAAAGGACTGGAATTCAGAATATACAATGTCTACCCCTTAATATAGCAGAAACTCCATTTAGAGGGGCAAGAGATATAACCGGGCACCTCCTCGCAAAAGATTTGTGACACGATAATGAGCCACATGGATGAATCTCAAAAATGCTTTGCTGAAGGAAAGAAGCAAGACAGAAGAATACATACTCTATGATTCCATTAATACGTAATTCTAGAAAAGCAAAGCTGATCTATACTGGCAAAAAGCAGATTAAGTGGTTGCCTGGGGTCAGGGACCTGGAGGGGCTTTACATAATCAACTTCAAAGGAGTCAAAAAAGCCAGAAGTTATTTAGGGGAATGTTGGAAATATTCTCTATCTTGATTTTGAGTATGTATGTGGCAAAGGGGGGATATTACATAGTATATATGTTTGTCAAAACGTATTAAAATGTACTCTTTAATTTTTATTTTATGTCATTACGCATTAATAAAGTTAATTCTAAAACAAGATGTGCCTATGTTTTATTGTATATAAATAATACCTCAATAAAAATCATGTGGAAACTATAGTAAAATATAATTCGTGGCAGGGAGGAAAAGAGAAAAAAAAAATCTCTTTTAAGTAAGGAAGCCCTCCTGCTGTTTCTTTAAGGACTCAGATACTGTTCATATCATAACAAATGAACAATGAACAAATGAACTTTGACACACAGAACAAGAAGCTTTGTCTTTCAGATTTGTTGGGGTTGAGACACATCTCATTTAAAAGTCACCGTCAGAGCTGCAATCAAAAAGCTTGTGGTTTGTCATCAGATATATCTTCTATGTTTGTGCCCCTGCTCTAGAGAATGTGTTTTGAGTTTTTGAATTGGAATTCAGGTTGCCTATGTAACTTGTAAGAATGATAAAGGGAAGGTACAAGTCTAGCAATTCCCTAACTCTCCCTGGTAGCAGTAGACACCAATCCCTGGGCTGAATACAATATTTCTTATTTTAAAAAAAATATATTGAACCTCTACTGAGCTCCTGACACAGTTCTTGGCAGGCTGCCATGAGATTAATCTACTATGGTTTCTTGAAAGTAAATAGATAGGGAACAGAGAGGCATAATCTCTTTTACAACAGGAGACTTTTCCTGATGATTCTCTCGGTCCTTGAATATAATGTAATCTATCTGGATTTTGACTGCTTTGTCTAAGGTTTCCTTCTTGTTACATTGTATTTTGTTAAAAAAAACTTTTAAGCAGTTTAACATTTGCATTTGAATAGGAGCTGTCAACATTGTAACCTTAAAAAGATACACCGTGTGATAATTTTAAAAATTTTAGAATGGCTGATAATGCACAGATTGGCGGGGGGGGGGGGCGGGAACCTTCACTACACGTAGCTTTCTCACAAGACTTCTTATACTTTCAGATTACCAGTTATTACTCAACAGTTAAAACTAAATTCAGTGAAACAATTTGCCTTGAGGACTTTCTGTGTGTACTAAGAAGTAAGTCATCAACCTGGTGGGTAAGAAATTCATTTTTCAGAAAAATAAGCAAACAGACCAGTACAAGATAATTTTAAAATCTGGAAATAAACATGTATGGTAATTTAGGATAGGATAACAATTACACCCAAACAGTGAGCAAATTATGTAGATCATTCAGTAAGCGAATAATAGTATATCCATGTGGAAAACCCAGATTTGGAACTCCATTACACACTTTACATCACAATTATTTCCAAATTTGCTTCCAAAATTTAAATGTGAAAAATAACATTTTGAAAGCTCTGGAAGATAATTGTGTGGTAGGGAAAGCCTTTCTAAGAATAACTCATAACCCAGAAACAATAAGAAAATGATGCTGGGCGCAGTGGCTTATGCCTGTAATCCCAGCACTTTGGGAGGCCGAGGCAGGTGGATCACGAGGTCAGGAGTTCGAGACCAGCCTGGCCAATATGGTGAAACCCCGTCTCTACTAAAACAAATACAAAAATTAGCTGGGTGTGGTGGCGCGCCCCTGTAGTCCCAGCTACTCGGGAGGCTGAAGCAGGAGAATCACTTGAACTCGGGAGGCGGAGGTTGCAGTGAGCCGAGATCGTGCCACTGCACTCCAGCCTGGGCGACGGAGTGAGACTTCGTCTCAACAACAACAAAAAAGAAAATGATTAACACGTCTGACTGCATTAATAAACAGTAACAACCAAAATGTAAAAAGCCACATTTCAACTAGGCAAAATTCAATAAGTGAATGTAAAAGAAAAGTCACAAGAAAAAATAAGCAAGTGTATCAGATGGGCAAGAACTCAAGAATTCAATGTTACTTTCTTTTTGGAGAGATAGTAAATTGAGCTCTTTTATAAACTGCTAACGTGAATAAAATTTCAACACCAATGGAGGAAATTTTCTCAGTATTTTTCAAAATAACAAATTGTATATTTCTCAACCCAGAAATTCAATGTGTGGGAATCAATCTGACAGCTGTATTAATAGACACAATTTCAAGACGATCTTTACATATTCATTGCAAAAAATTATTTCTGATGGCAAAAGATTGAGGGAAAAAATTAAATATGCATCAATATATTATTGATTTGCTTTAAATTGTAATAATTTTAATTAAAGAAAATAAATTATACTAATTCATAATAGTATATGGAATTGTTAAAAAGAATGAAGAAATTGAGAGGAAAGAAGCTCCAAGATATATTAAATACAAAAAGTAGGCTGTGGAAGAGCAGTTAATATGTTTTATGGTTAAATATAGAGAATGAGAAGGTGGGAATGGGGCTGAAAGAGGCACTGAAAAAACGATGTTTTTCTCTTTTTATTAGCAAATGTGTATGAATGACAGCTGGACATACCTCAATCTAGCATGAAGCACCCAGGACTTCACTGCTCCCTTCGGGAGCACCATCTGCTCAGGTGCTTCCCTGTTGACTCCTCATGATGAGAACGTTGCCCCTGGATTCTACTTCAGGACCACATAAGGCAAATATTTTCTCCCTTCTTGACAGCCAGGGCATGGGATGCTTCATGTAAGATCAGCCAAATCTATACCACACTCTGGTTTTGAAACTTGAGGGAGCAACACAAAGTTGCAAGGGCAGATGAGGTATTATTCATGGCAACAGCGATGTACCCATTGAGTATTCAGTACTGAAGAAGCAATTGTCCAGTACTCAATGCCAGCAGCAGGGTGTGACAACTCCATCCCTAGAACTTACCACCCCTTGGTCCTTTGGATTTTACAAGCTAAAGTCCTCAGGTCTTCCTCCTGGTCTCTATGCTCCCCAGCGTTCTTCCTACAAAGGCCATTTCTTTTCAACGTAACCTAATTGGTTTCCTTTGCTAGCCGGTTATAGTTGTATTGTTATTATGAATTATTTTTTAATCCTTTTGCCATTGAACTACGAATTAGGAAGTGAGTCTTGTTCAACATCCATAGAGTCTAATACTGTGCTTTCAATATGATGATAGGTGATTATTGATGGAATTGATTAATTCAATGACTTAGAGATTATTAAAAATAATGTTTTATATACTGACAATTAGAAAGCTTCAACATAACAAGGAGCTTCCAAAACTTAAGCTCTGAGTTTGTGCAGATTTCTTGGTTAAATTGATTTGCTCGTATTCCCAATCTATAATCAAAGAAGAGATTGAATAATTTAACATTATTAAAGAAGCTAATATTGAGAAGACATTGATTATTTCTTAAAATAAAACAGCAAAAAAACTTCTTCCTGAAAATATACTTGATAATAAAATGAGTGTAAAATCATTCAGAAGTCACTTATTCCTTTTAAAATGCTAAATTTTATATTTTAGATGACTCTAGTTTTTAATGACTGCTACTATATACCCTATTTACTTCATTTCTCTTCTACCTTAGAAGAAAGAAAAGATAATTCGTGTTAGATAATTTTTCACTCAGGTAAACAACAAGAAAAATGTACTCCTAAGGAAGTGTTCTTAAAAACATGATTATTTTCTGCTTCACACCTGACAACACAATGAAACACCTTACTGACATTTTATCGTCCCAGAAACCATGTTTCACTGTGGTAATTCAAAATCTAGACTGTTGTAGAAATAGATCAAAAACTTTCCACAAAATTCAATTATTTAAATAATGTATTTTACATAGCCCTAATCATCTTCAACTAGCATACTATTGGGAAATGAAAAGCAAACATGAAATCTATTTGGTTAATATCTTAGAACATTACAAAATTATATTCTTTCCTCTTGACAAAAATTGTTCCCTCTGTATTTTGCTTTTCCTTGTTTTATTAAACACTCTCATGTTGACAATATTGGCTTGACAATTTGAATAACATTCACTAAGAGCTCTTTAAATATCTACTGTTTCACATATGTTGCCTTTATCCAGTATCCATAGGATGTTTAAAATACATCATATGCCTCATTAAAAAGTTTTCAAAATCATATATTATATAAATCTAATTCTTAACAATTAAATTTTTGAATGTGACATGTTTAAGACAGGAACATGTTGGAGTCATATAGTCACTTCCTTAAGGATCAGATTGGCTTCACTCAAAGGCCAGCTCTGTGACTGTTTTTTGTTGTTGTTTGTTTGTTTGTTTGTTTGAGACAGAGTCTTACTTTGCTGTCCAGGCTGGAATGCTGTGGCGCTATCTCAGCTCACTGCAACCTCTGCCTCCTGGATTCAAACTATTCTCCTGCCTCAGCCTCCCAAGTAGCTGGGATTACAGGCACCCACCACCATGCCCCGCTAATTTTTTATTTTTAGTAGCCAAGATTTCTGGCCAATACTTGCCAGAGGCAACACGAATGGCCCAACTTTTATTTTGTTCCATATTGTTGCTGGAGTGGTGTGACTATGGCTACCTGCCCCATGTCCTTCCTGTTCCTCAAGGGGAGCCCTATGGCCAAGAGACTTAAATCCAAAATACTTGTAACCAATGTTTTAGGACAGATGGGAAGGGAGGTGAGCAGGCCTTCATCAACATTGAAAATCTTTTTTTTTTAATTTGATTTTTTTTTTTTACTTTAAGTTTTAGGGTGCATGTGCACAACATGCAGGTTTGTTACGTATGTATACGTGTGCCATGTTGGTGAAAATCTTTTAAGCAATATAAGAGACAAAATCCAAAAGCCAAAAGGCAAGACTACAAAATTTACTTATCTATACATTTTATGTGTTGAGCTGCCATAGTCTTGTTTTTAATTACAGACTTGTAGCAATTAGCTATACAAAATATAATCATTTTGTTAAAATCATTTAAGCTAAGGAATTTAGAGGAAATTGTTGTACCACAATGGTTTTGTGCAGTCTTCTTAGAAATTTGTTTTAAGGTGGCTTATAAATATATGTATTCATATCCATATCTATATCTATATATAGATCTTGTGACTGGGAGCACTCTGCCCAGGAAGCTTTGTCACCAGATATCTTAATATCCTCTTGGTAATTTTCTTTTAACCGTCATGGGAAGCAGGACATGTTTTATGGTTGAGATGAAAATGGCCCAGGAAGCCAAGTCCCTCATTTTCCAGCTGTTTAAGCATGTGCGTGCCTGTCCTTGATTTGAAGAGTATGAACTAATTCTATCCCTCGAAATTGGCCCTTACAATATCACATGGCCACCTCTTCTGGGATAGTCCCTGAGACTAGAGGGGAGCTGCTTACATAGCTTTAGCATTAAGGCATTAGCAACAAAAGCAGATAAAGTCTAGTGGCATTCTGAATAGTTTTTAAACTTTGCAGATATCAGGTAGCAGGGAAAGGTAATCTTTGTTGATTTACCTACTCTTGTAAGCTACAAGTAGCTCAAACAAGAAACAAATACATATAACACACACACACACACACACACATACATATACACACACATATACACACATATATATACACACATATATATACACACATACATATACATATATACACATATATACATATATATACACACATATATACACACACATATATATATTTACACTGGTAAACAAAGCATAAAGAATCAGCAATGTTTTGAATAAGAGGACGTAAGCCTTGTGTAGCTCTGACAATGACAAGAAAAGGAAACTCACAGGTAGCTAAATATTCAAGTTATTCAGTATTAAGACATAGAACAAATTAGATAGAAGTCAAATTATTAAATAAGTATTTATGCCTTTGTATACAGGCCTGGTCTAGTGTCATGCGAAAGCACTTTTTTTAATTGTCTTCTTGTCCTAGATCTGAAGATGAGGTTTCGGTTAACTTGAGCTTCGTGCCAGATCCCAGCATTAACGTTTGAGATTCTGTAGGAGCTGATGCTCCTTTTGAGATGAGATAGGGGTATCCAGCAGTCAAAGCCCTGCAACTCAACAGCACAAGGATTAGTTAACAAAATTTGATTAAAAACTCTTTTTAATGGGGCTGGAGGGAGTCTCTTAACTAATGTCCAATCAACCGACTGGAAGTGGTAATACTGGAGTTTATGACTGAATTGAAAGCTGTAAAAAGATTCTACAATCTTACAGTGATTAATTTTTATAGTTTTGATAAGCCCCCAGCAGTAAGTCTAAGCCAGATTCCATTTAGTGTTTGACTTTGAGGATGTTTGTCAAAGAATGTTAAAAGGCTGAAAACATTTGATTAAAACAGAATCTCAGGTCATTATAAAATAATAGTTATTCATTTAACCAGAGTGATTATCAAAAGACTTAAAAAGCAATATACAGGCCGGGCGTGGTGGCTCACACCTGTAATCCCAGCACTTTGGGAGGCGGAGGAGGGCGAATCACCTGAGGTCAGGAGTTAGAGACCAGTCTGGCCAACATGGTGAAACCCCATCTGTACCAAAAATACAAAAATTAGCCAGGCATGGTGGTGGGCACCTGTAATCCCAGCTACTTGGGAGGCTGAGGCAGAAGAATTGCTTGAACCCAGGAGGTGGAGGTTGGAGTGAGCTAAGATCTTGCCACTGTACTCTAGCCTGGGCAATAGTGAGACTACCCCCTCCCCAAAAAAATAAATCAATATACAAAGTTACATTGATGTAAAAACCTTAAGGTTCTTCTTTTTTTTTTTTTTGAGATGGAGTCTCGCTCTGTCGCCCAGGCTGGAGTGCAGTGGGGTGATCTCCGCTCACTGCAAGCTCCACCTCCCAGGTTCACGCCATTCTCCTGCCTCAGCCTCCTGAGTAGCTGGGACTACAGGCGCCCACCACCACGCCCGGCTAATTTTTTTGTGTGTATTTTTAGTAGAGACAGGGTTTCACCATGTTAGCCAGAATGGTCTCGATCTCCTGACCTCATGATTTGCCTGCATCGGTCTCCCAAAGAAAACCTTAAGGTTCTTAACATTTAAATTTCCTAAGTGATAAAAAAAAAAAAACAAAAAAAACCTTATACAAAAAGCACAGGAATTATCTTAAAATCTTTGAATCTTTGTTTCTTGGGCTAGTTATCAAGCCTTCTGTAGTGTGACTGCTTTTCTTATGGGAAGCCCATTTGAATTATCTGGAATTCAAACCTAATGAAAAAAGAACCTGAAATAATCAGACGCAGAAATGGCGTGTCCAGAGTCATGAACGAGTGTTACATTTTAGTGGTCTTGAGCAGGGGAATACGTGTCTCTTGGCAACATTATGAGAAGTTGACTGGCTATATTGAACACATTAGACATATTTTGGGGCTCAGAAAACAATACCCCAAAATAAAAGCCTCAGAAGCAGCCTCAGAAATAAAAGTTTTTATTTGGCCTTCTCTTGTCCTCCTCTCAGTCTCATTTTCCCTCAAGGCTGGCCACAGAAACTAGAATCTCCCTTCCCCAGCGCAAGTCCCAGAAACCAGAATTCCTTTCTTCAAAGCCAGCCATAAAGCCTAAAAATATTACACTAACGTTTCCTCCACCTGTCTGTGTAAGAATTTGTCACACAGAAATGATCTGACCTTCCTCGCTGGATTGTAGGTTATAAAAGCCCCATGCCCAGAAGGAAGGAAATGCATGCTCAGGGAGATTAAGAAGGATCTAGACAGATGGGCCTTTCTGGATATCCCCACACAGTCTGCTAGCACTAAGTTTTCTGTACTAGGCCATTTTTGTGTGACGTTAAAGATATCCCTAAGGTCTGGGTCATCTGTAATGAAAAGACGTGTAATTGGTTCATGGTTCTGCAGGTTGTACAAGCATGGCACCAACATCTGCTTGGCTTCTGGTGATGCCTCAGGAAGCTTGCAATCAAGGTGGAAAGCAAAGCAGAAGTAGGCACAACACAGGGTGAGAGTAGGAACAAGAGAGCAAGGTGGAAGGTCCCATGCACTTTTAAACAACCAGATCTCATGTGAACTAACTAAGCAAGAAATTACTTATCACTAAGCTGGTGGGGATAAACCATTCACAAGGGGTCCACTCCCATGATCCAATTACCTTCTACCAGGATCCACCTCTGACATAAGGAATCACACACATTTCAACATGAGTTTTGGAAGAGACAAGCATCCAAACGATATCAAAACCCTTTTGTTAAATCATTTTTTTACATGGGTGTGCGTACTTTGTTGAACCTAAGTATTAAAATGAGCAATTTCCCCTGTATCTTGGTTCTTTATTTTGAACACTCTCATGTATACACACCAAACAAATCTGCATGCCTTCTCTTCAACCAATCTGTCTTTTGTGAGTTGATTTTTCAGGGAACCCTCAGAGGGCCCCTGACCCCTAAACATATTAACAAAATCCACAAGTACAGAATTAAGTTATGTTGGAGGAAAACATCACCTTCTTAAAACCTTCAAGATGAAACATTTCAGTAATAGGCTGTAAGAACAGATTTAGAACTGGAAAAAAGTTACAGGAGCCAACAAAAGTTGAAGGACAGAGTTACTATCCCAAGTCTCTTCAAAGGGAGAAAAAGCTGAAAACAGAAGGGCACAGGAGAAGTTAAACTTCTGAGATATTGTAATAGTCCATTTTCACACTGCTGATACAGAAATACCAGAGACTGGGTAATTTATAAAGAAAACAAGGATTAATGGACTCACAGCTCCATGTGGCTTAAGGGGAGTTCACAATCATCGTGGAAGGTGAAAGCCTGTCTCTCACACGGTGGCAGGCAAAAAAAGATTGATAACCAAGCAAAAGGGAAACACCTTATGAAACAATCAGATCTCATGCGACTTATTCACTACCATGAGAATAGTATGGGGGAAACTGCTCCTATGATTCAATTATCTCCCATCGGGTCCCTCCCACAACACATGGGAATTATGGGAGCACAATTCAAGATAAGATTTGGGTGGGGACACAGCCAAACCATATCAGATATCAATCTGAAAATTTTCAAAACAGAAGCAGATTATAGAATTGAAAATTAAAAACGCAATTTCATTAACAGCAAATCAATATTTTAAGAAAAACTTGTTGTTTTAACCAAGTCTTTAGTTTTGCATTACTGTATTTTAATATCAAAGTTCTATCTCTAGAAGGCTATTATAAATAATTTCTTTTAATTAGAGCCAAAGGAATTACATACAGAATTTCCTTCATAAATTCTCTTTTTATAAGACTTATTCCAACTTACACAGACCATTTACGGCACACTTGCACTTTGTGTTTTTTCTTAAATTTCCCTTTCTTAAATAACCCATAATTTTTTTTTAGGACAAAAATGTATCACACAAGATTCTTTCTCATACAAAAGTATTGTCCTTTTAACCTTCCTTACTAAAAATATCTCTTCATATCTGTAACTTTCTTCACATCTCTCTCATTTACTGGTTCCTTTTTACCATGTTTCATAAAACATCTTTAAATAACCTTTGAAATAGATGAAAATAATTTTCCTTTTAATCAGAACACCTTTTTATGTCTTTCTTATTTTTTATTTTTTCATCATAACACATCTTACTTTAGCACACTTCATATAAGAATTATATATTAACTAGAATTTTTATTCTTAGTAACCTTGTAACCAGGGCAGCCCTGATAAAATAATTGGGAAAGTTTCCTTTCTTACTGTTTTCCTTTAGTCTCTGTATTTATAAGCACAGCTGCTTACAAGAGCCAGGCTACCCAGGCTGGCGCCGAGTTTCTTGACCCCTCACCAGATACCAGAGGGAGATAAGACCCTGCAAACTGGCACAAAGTGGAACAGAGGACCCCTGGTTACCTTCAGTCATTAACATATTATAATACTAAAATATCCTCTCCTAAAGGAAAATCTCTGCCATTTTTTGGACTTGGTTCTTGAAGTTGTATGTTTATGAATTGAGCCTGAGTGTCTGGAATACCACTCTGCACATGCTAACAGCATTCCTTTCCTGCCCTGTATCCGGGCCCTAAAATCCCTATGTTTTCTATTGTTCAGGGATAAGAGGCATTTGGAGTGAGAGCCTTTCCTTCTCCATTTCTTGCCAGTGAATAATACCTGTTTGCTCTTTTTCAATGGAATGTTCTTACTTTGAGAACAATATAAAGTGGTGAAAGAACTCAGTTTACCAATGACAACCTTAAATTTATGCAAAAACCTAGGAAGAAAGAACTCTTGAGTTGTCTGTCAAATCAGTAATTTATAGATGAGAACCACTTTATAATTTTTTTGAAAAATGTTTTCTATGTTTTTTAAATTAGAAATGATCGAGACATGTAATGAACATGTTATTTAATTTAAAAATACATAAGATTTAAAATTACATGACAAGTTCATTTATAAATATTTATCCCATTACATTTACCTAATTTATTTTTTAAAATAGCTTACCTAGATTACTTATGAATACAGAGATATTAGACAAAACTAGTCATTACTGGAACTTTGGGGGGTCCTGAGTCTTCTTTGAGGCCCCATGCTGGGTGCCAATTAATGTTGATAAAAAACACTAAACTCTTTAAAATATTTTCAGAGGTTTATTATGAGCCAGTATGAGTAACCGTGGCCCAGGGCATAGTCCTGAGAGGTCTTGAGAACAACCCCCACCTTGTGCAAGTTATTTTTTCCTCGCACTTTCAAACTTATCACTAAACTTTAGAATACAGTATGCATGTGTAAGATTTGTTTATTGCCTTTCCTATTTCTTCTCACATTGATGCAACATTTTCTCTTAACTCTCAGTTTTGTAGTTTTTTCTGTGTCAGACATAATTTCTATCTTCTATTAGTTCTTTCTCCTCTTTGTTTTTCTGGACTTTCTTTTTCATGCTAGAGATTTTCCTTCATTCTGTGGTGATAACTCACATTTATCTAAGGCATATTTTATAAAATCTAAGGTTGCATAGATTAAATGACATACCATTATTTATAGACCTGTAAGAAGAAAATTCATTGTCAGATTATAATAAATATGTAAACCAATAACTAAGAGTGAGATATTAAAAATGTGGTTGCAAGTTATATGTCAATCGAATACGTGGTTATGAGCGCGTTTTTCAAATCTTGGGCTTCTCTGTAGAGTCATAGTCACATTACGTAAGCAAAGTTTATGTTTGAAAAAGCCAAAGGACCACTTATTTAACAATGTTTTTAGTAAAACAAAAATATTGATTTACTCTTCCACTTCTATTTTTTGGGAACATATCTATGGAATTAATACTTGTATTTAAAAGTGAAGCTGAAATAGATTTGGAAAAGAAGACATGAAAGTGATACCCAAAATGTGGAAACAATTAATTTACTTGATATCATTCATGGGCAATTAATTTATATATGTGTATTTTTGAGGCAACCTCAGCAAATTTATTCGATGATTTAACTTATTTTAACTTATTTGGCAAAAAAAAAAAAAACCCCTAACATGTATTTTCTCATTCTTCCTAGAGAATACTGAATATAATTCAACTTTTCTTGGTCATTATGAAGAACATTAGTTTTTATCATAGTTCAATAAAACAGAAGCTTCTCAGGGGCTGTGGCATATGTAATCTTATATGGTTCTTTCCCACGTGGTCCAAAATTTCTACACTTTTTGAGTTATGCCAATTTATATTAATTTCTCTATCTTCCCTTAAACCACCTGTCACTCGATGCTGTTGCCTATGCACATGCTTCCAGAAAGGGCCTTCTGATTTGTTTCCTAATCCATTGCACACTGAGAAGCCATATTGCCTCCCTCCCTATGACTATGTCTACAATAAAAGTACTTAGACATGGAAAGGACTCTGTATCAGTAACCTGCATGGACTTTATGGTACAAGTCGAGTGCTTGGCATACTTAGACAGCCTCTAAGAGTGTGCCTAAATGCTGAATTGAATATGTGATCACCATACACTTTAAGTGTATTTCAGTTTCATATATCCATGTTTCCGTAGTTCTACAACTCTGTTAATGGATTTGGCTTTTTGAAAGAGAAAGGGACTTTAATAATTTCCATATGTTTTATAGTAATTGTTTTGTTTCTGGAAACTGCTAAATATTCCATTCTATTTAATTGTTCTAAATGAGACACACAAACAAAATTTCCAGAACTGTATATGTGGCTTCAATCTATTTCCCAATATATCCATTTTAGAGCTACTGGGTGGGCAGAAAAAAATGTAAAAATAATTTATTAAGTTCTAGCTTACTGGAATATTTGAGGAATATGTTGCTCTAGATATTCCAATTTTCTGCAGAGCTGAAATGTAATCTCTATAAAGCATCAGAATTTTTTAGTTGATTTTGCACAGTCTCTGAAAAGTATATCATATATATATATAAAATTGTCTTGTAAAGAAATACATGAATTATATTTTAATCACTTTTATATCAAGACAGTCATTATTATTAGGCTGGTGCAAAGTAATTGCGGTTATTGCCATTGAAAGTAATGGCAAA
Source organism: Homo sapiens (assembly GCF_000001405.40). NCBI lineage: Eukaryota > Metazoa > Chordata > Mammalia > Primates > Hominidae > Homo > Homo sapiens. The sequence continues at coordinate 238,931,329 of NC_000001.11, forward strand.
CAATAACAATTATAAATTATTAATAAGAAATTATTGTATTAAGCAGACCCTTTTTCCTTACACTAAATGAACTATTTTGCTGTGCTTTAAAATTTTGCAGCAGTAAGGATTATTCAACCTCATGACTGTTGCTTTTAATCTGCTTTAATCAGCTTTTAACAAACCAGATAACTAAGATAGTTAGAGTTATGTATAAATTTGAAATAAATTGAATCTCAATGAAGACTTGAAGAACTTGATTATAAGCAAGGGCATGGATTTTGTGAACTCTATTATAGTGGATTACAGGCCATTTTTGTTCATTATCTACTTCTTTGCTGCCTTTAAAGGAAGGTACTGGATTAAAAAATGAATTTCAAATAGAAGAATTATTAATATACAAAAGTATCCATTTTGGTTCTTAATTTTTCCATCTTTCTAGTTAATGTTATAATTCCTCAAATCTGATCAAAACTTAACCATTTGAGTTTGCATTTTCTATAATATTTTCATTTGAATTGGACACTGGATGCTATTAAGAGTTCCTTTGCACTATTAGACTTCAGCATGACACCATAAGGAGTTCTATGGATTCATTCTTCAGTGATACTAGAGAAAATTACCAAAAAACAAACATTAACAGTCTCTGGAAATGGTCCCATGAATATATAGCAAATGAAGAATCATTTACTCAAGAACACCAACTAACATTCAATGGGAACAGCAGGAGTTTGTGGTATTTGAATCCAGATCGGTTCCATCTCTTCCCTTTCCCAACTCAGCATTATGGAAATCTCACTCCAGACTTCAATAGCCAGGAACACAGGGCTCTCTCTCCTGCCAGTACCCAGATGGAGGGCTGCCTTTCTGGGCTGTGTAGAATGTCAGCATTTCTTATCTTGCCCTAGGTACTTGTTCCTGAGGTTAAGTTCCAGGTGCGTGCAGCTGACTGGTGGGGGCTCTCTTTTTTCACCCACCCCCACCTGTGGGACAGAGACTATACCTTGGGCATGGTGCTGCTGAAAACCCTGGAGCCCCAACTGCCCTTCCTTCTGCTTGTGAGACACTGGCTCTATGTCAGGAGAAGCAAGCATAGGAAACATGAGATGTACTGCACTCCCTCTATTTAACACTTTGCTCCTAAAGAAGCGATGTCATTTAGTTAGAAGTGCACCATTGCCCCAACTCCAGCTCCAGAACTGGGCCTCTGCTCAGAGACAATACTTGGGGCCAAATTAGGCCATAAAATAGATAGTGCCTAATCATTTTCCGAATATTCACTTTATTTGCAACAGAGCGTGTGGAAGTTCAAGCCTAAACTCCTCTCGAAAACAATGGTGGCTATAGTGAAAGACAATGGGGAGAAGATTGGTAGAGTCATTGTAAAAGCAGGCTAAACTAGAGGCTTAGTTTGCCTGAGAAAAAGACAGCAGAGGAAAGGCTGACCGAGGCCAGAACAAATCTCAAACAGGAACCTCAGGAACTGTTACTCTTAAGGAGCATAAAATTGACAGTTTTTGTCTTTTGGGCAATGTATGCCTCAGGACATTGTTGATAACTATAGAGAAAACAGCAATTAATTAGTGGAACTTCCAAGTTAGCTGTGTTTAGAGACATAGAGAATCATGCTAAACCTGATTCTAGGGTCACTGTCACTCATCCATGGTCACTGTCATTCCATGGTCACTGTAGATGTAACCAAGGCTGTGCCTCCTCAGCAGCAATACTAGATGCTTAACATGATAGAAAATGGAATGAGTTAAAATACAATAATATAGTAAACAAAACAGTAATAATATAGCAAACAAAACAAAATGATACAGTAATAATATAGTAAACAAAACAAAACATTAAATATCTGTAACAAATCCTGGAGGTGGGGGGTAGTGTCCATAGGGGCTACAATATTGAATTAGTCTGTATGCTGCTAATAAAGACATACCCAAGACTGGGTAATTTGTAAAGAAAAGAGGTTTCTTTGACTCACAGTTCCACATGGCTGGGGAGGCTTCACAATCATGGCAGAAGGCAAATGAGGAGCAAAGTGACATCTTACGTGGAGATAGGCAAAAGAGTGTGCAGGGGAACTTACATTTATAAAACCATCAGATCTCATGAGACTTATTCACTACCAAGAGAACAGTATGGAGAAAACTGACCCCATGACTAAATTATCTCTGTCCAGCTTTGTGCTTGACACATGAGGATTATTACAATTCAAGGTGAGATTTGAGTGGGGACACAGCCAAACCATAACAAAGATATAATCTAAAATATACAGTTTTTGCAAAAAAAAAAAAGTGAAACTGAAAAAAATCAGAAAAGAATGGTTATTAGAACAGAAATTGCTTATGAAAGCAATCTGATGGTTTAAAAAATCAAAGCCATCAAAATAGTCATGATAAGTGTGTTCAAAAAAATGAAAGCAATGTTTGGCTAAAGAGGTAAAGAAAAGTATGATGACAATGTCACATCAAACAGAGAACAGCAGTAAAGATATAGAAATTATGAAAAAGACCCAAATGAAATTTCTGGAGTAGAAAAGTATAATAACTAAAGTAAAGACTCATTAGAGGGATTCAAAAGTAGATGTAAAATGAAAGAATAAAGGATTATTGAATTTGAAGTATATTGATAGAGATTATGCAATCCAAAAAAAAGTGAGAAAAAGGAATGAAGAAAAATTAGCAGGGGATCAGAGACATGTGAGATGTCACTAGGCACACCAGCATACCTGTCATTGTAGTACCAGAATGAGATGATAGAGATAAAAGTGCAGCAAAAAATATTTGAAATAATAGTGACTGAAATTTCCTAAAAAAATTGATTACCTACACTTCTCAGAAACTCAATAAATCCTATGTAAGATAAACACAAAGATATTCACAAACAGAAATATTATAGTAAAAATGCTGACATCCAAAGACAAGGAGAAAAACTTGAAAGCAGCAAGAGAAAATTGTTTATCACTTACCCAATAATATCAACAACTGACTCCTTAGAAAAAACAACAGAGGCCAGAAGGCAATGAGATAACAAATTGCTCCAAAGAAAAGAAAAGCTGCTAGCACAAAATTCTTCCATAAATTAATATAAATTCTTCAAAATCTTTCCGAAAGAATAGAAGAGAAACACTTTCAAAGTCATTTTATGAGTCCAATATTATCCTGATTCTAAAGCCCAAAAAGACATCACAAGATATGAAAACTACAAACCAATATTTAGTATGCCCATGGATTCAAAAATCCTCAAAAAATATAAGCAAATTGAACCAAGCTACATATAAAAAGAATTATACACCGTGACCAACTGGAATTTCTCCCAGGAATGCAAAATTGGTTTAATATCTAAAAATAACTAATAGAACACGTTATATCAAGGGAATAAAACACAGAAAACACATGATCATCTCAATAGATGCAGAAAAGGCATCTGACAGAATCCAACACTACTTCAATATAAAAATACTCGGAAAACTAGGAATATAAGGGAACAACCTCAACTTGATTGAAAAACATCTAAAAAAACATAGCTAACATCATATTTAATTATGAAGGCAATAATTTTCCCTAAAATTAAGAACAAGACAAGGATATTCACTTTTACCGTTTCTATACAAAATTATATGGAAGTTCCTAGTAAAGAAAATTAGATAAGGAAGAGAAGGAAAAATCATCCAGATTGAAAATGAAGTAGAACCACTTTTATTCACAGATGACATGTTCTTGTCTATATTCTAATGCAATAGAATGAAAGTGGATCTTTATCTCATACCATATACAATACTTTTAATTCAAAATAGATCAAAGACCTAAATGTGAGAACTAAAACTATAAAACTCTTAGAAGAAACATAGAGGTAAATAGGCATGACTTTGGATTTGGCACTTGATTCTTCGATAGGGCACCAAGAAGACGAGCAGCAAAAGAAAAAGTAGATAAATTAGAATTCATATTTTTTTTAAATTTTGTGTTTCAAAGAACACTATCAAGAAAGTGAAAAGATAACCTAGAGTTTGGGTGTAAATATTTGCAAATCATCCATCCAGAATATGTAAAGAGCTCTTAGAACTCTATAATAAACAAAATAAAATATAATAATAAAGAAATATTTATTATAATAAATAAATAATACTATAATAAATAAAATCCAATTTAAAAATGGAAAAATTATCTGTTTTCATTTCTATGAGAATAATATAGAAATGGCCCATGAGCATATGGAAAAATTGTCAACACCATTAGTTATCAGGTAGATATAAATCAAAACCACAAGGTACCACATGATGCCCACTAGTATGGCTATAGTTAAAAAGTCACCTAATGAATAAGTGTTGGTGAGGATACTGATAAACTGAAATTCTTTTATTCCCACTGGTGGGAATGTGAAATAGTTCATCCCTTTTGGGAAATAACCTGTCAAGTCCCTCAAATGACTATGAACAAAGTTATTATATGTCCTATCAATCCTATTCCTAGGTATATACCCAAGATCAATGAAAATCTATTGTCTTAGTCTGTTTTATGCTGCTATAACAAATTACTACAGACTAGGTAATTAATTTAAAAAAAAACAAAGATATATTACATACAGTTCTGGAGGCTGGAAATCCAAGGTTATGGGGCTGGCATCTGATGAAGGCCTTTTTCCTGTGTCATTCCATGGCAGAAGGTGGAAAGGCAAGAAGTGTGAGCACGACCAAGAGGGGGCCAAATTTGCTTTTATAGGAAACTCACTCTTCTGACAACAAACCCAATTCTGCAAAAAATGACATTAATCCATTCATTAGGTAAGAGTGCTCATGTTCTAATCACCTCTTAAAATTCTCATTTCTCCAGGCTGGCCAACATGGTGAAACCCCATCTCTACTAAAAGTACAACAATTAGCTGGGCATGGTGGCAGGTGCCTGTAATCCCAGCTACTTAGGAGGCTGAGGCAGGAGAATCACTTGAACCCGGGAGTCAGAGGTTTCAGTGAGCTGAGGTCACACCACTGCACTCCAGGCTGGGCGACAAGAGAGAGACTCCATCTCAAAAAAAAAAAAAAAAAAAAAAAAAAAAAATCCCACTTCTCAATACTGTTGCATTGGGGATCCAGTTTACAACACATGAACTTTGGGAGACACATTCAAACCATAGCACATATGTTGTCTACACACAAAAATCTTTGTAAATGAATGTTTTTTGCAACATACTTGTGATATCCAAGATGCAGAAACAACTCAAATGTACACCGAGAAATACTGATACATGCTACAACATAATAAACTTTGAAAGCATCACACTAAATAAAGAAGCTCCTCACGAAAGAAAACACCTTTTGTATTATTATATTTATATGAAATGTCTAAGTTTGGTTAATCTATAGGGACAGAAAGTATATGCGTGGTTGCTTAAATCTGGGGGTATAAAGAGTAGGGGATGATAACTAAAAGGTATGAGGTTTCTTTGTGAAGTGATGAAAACGTCCTAAATTTACTGTGGTGATGGCTACACATGTAGTCATGGACGACATAATGTTTTAGTCAACGACAGACGTCATATATTATGGCAGTCTCATAGGTTTATAATATTGTACTTTTCTATGTTTAGGTACACAAACATTTACCACTGTGTTACTTCTGCCTACAGTGTTTAGCATAGTCTCATGCTGTATGGGTTTGTAGCCTAGGAGCAATAGGCTATACTATATGGCCTCGGTTTGTAGTAGGCTATACCACCTTAGTTTGTGTAAGTATATTCTATGATATTCATACAATAAGAAAAATTGCCTAATGATGCATTTCTCAGAGCATGCCTCTGTTGTTAAGTGATGCATGACTGTGAAATATACACAAAAAATATTCTTTCCATGAAATATACTGGAAAACATTGAATTTTACACTCTAAATAAGTGCAGGATATGATATGGGAATTTATCTAAATAGAGTATTTAAAATAATTTACTTTCATAGTTCACTTCTTATTTTTCTGGTTTTGTTTTAGAGAAATGTGTCTTCATTTTTATAATATGAAGCAAGTTGATTCCTTCACTCTTAGGAACATTCATAGGACTTCTAAAATAGTTTGGCAAATTAAACGCTGGGGGAAAAATGATTTTCATGTATTTAACTTAAGTAAACAAGTAGAGAAGCTGCCTTATTCCAGCAAGTTTTTAAGTAAGGTATAAATAAATAAATATTCATAAATGTAATTTTTAAAATTGGCCTCCATCTGGAATTTAATAATTAAAAATGTGAGATAACTCATATGGCAATTACTCATAATTTGCTTTGTAGAATTTATGGACATGGTATAACCACTGAAAATAATGCAAACAAATAATAATTTTCTTCAAATGTAGATCATTTCCAGTCCTCTTCATTTATTTTCATAGATATTTTTAACTGGTGTCATTTTCTTTCTGCCTGATGGACTCCTTTCCATAGTTCTTAAAATTTGGGCCTTCCGGTGGTAATTTAGTTCATATATTGTATGTTTTACAATGTCATTATTTCACCTTCATTTGTAAAGATATATTTGCTGGTATAGAATTTTAGGTTAACAGTTTTCTTTATAAAATTTTTTTCTATCATTTAAAGGTATTGCTGCATTGTCTTCTGGCTTGTATTGTTTTCAAAGAGAAGCCTGCTGTCATTCCTATCTTTGTTTCTTTGGAGTTAAGGTGTTCTTCCCACCCCATTGGCTCCCTTCAAGATTTTGTCTTTTTCTTTCTTTGATTGAAGTTTAAATATGATATAATTTGGTGTACCTTTTGGTATTTTTCTTGATTGGTGTTTTCTGAGGTTCTCTAATCTACGGTTTTGTGACTGAAATTAATTTTAGAAAGTTCCCTGCTGTCGTTACTTCAGATGTTTTTTCTGCTTTATTCATTTATGCTTCTTGTTCTAATATTCATTTACATGTATATTACTTCTTTTGATACCTTCCCACATTTCTTGGATATGCTGTTATATTTTTGGATTTGGCAAGGGGAGGATACTTTTTTTTCTTTTCATTCTCTCTTTACATTTCAGCTTGAAAAGTTTGTATTGACCTATATTCAAGTTTACTGATTCTTTCTTTGGCTGTATCAAATCTCCTGATGAGCCAGTAAAAAGTACCCTTCATTTCTGTTACTGCTTAAATACATGATTTCTATGATTTCTTTTTGTTTCTTATTATTTCCATTTCTATGTTTACATCGCTCATCTGTCCTTTTACGTTATCTTCCTTTTCAATTAGATTTCCTAACACATTATTCAGAGTTATTTTAAATTATCTGTCTGGTTAGCACAAAATCTGTGTCATAAATGAGTCTGAGTCTGATGTGTGCTTTGTCTTCTTACGGTACGTTTTTCTTGCCTTTTGCCAAGTTGTGCAGTTTAATTTCCTGAAAGCCAGACATGTTGCATAAGGTTACAGAAATATTAAATAGGCCTTTATCATGAGTATCATTTTACTCTGTCAGGAGGTGGCCAGGACTTAGTATGTGTTGTAGCTGTAAGTTTTAGAGGCCTGAAACTTTTCTAGAGCTTTAATTTTTGTCTCTTTCCTTAACTTTGAGCTTATCTAAGTACTCTTTCTCAGAGAGTCTACATCTTCTGCCCTTTCAACTGCAATTCATTCCTTTTAGACCGAGGCCCTGTTGATGGTAGAATAGGAAAAAAGGAGCATTCTATAAACTGCAGACTAAGACTCAGCCATTTAATAGGCCTGTGACTTAATATTGTGCAGCTTCACAAGTGATTTTCTCCCCTCCTTCAGTCTTATTAACTTTTCCTCCTTTTTCTCTACTACTTTTCCTGGTGGAAGAATTTTTCACTATTTTCTAATTTTGCGAAGCTCTGTTCCCTGGCGAATATATAAGGGCTGTTTAAAATGCTCAGGAAAAAATACGTATTATAAAAAATGAAAAACTATGCATGAATTTCAAAGTTTTATTGCACCAAAATAAACTTATACTAACTTATTATAACATGTCCAAATGGGATTGAGTTTGAGGCACTAAAAATGATAATACATCGGTTTTCAATAAGCCCCTATCAGAGCAACATGAATTGTGCTAAAATTGAAGCAAGAACAAACATTAAATTTATGGTCAACCTTGGCCAGGGGGGTGGGAATAGTGAAATCACTGATGCTTTATAAAAGTTTGTGGGAACAATGCCCCAAATAAATTAGCAGTTTTAAAATGGATAACTGTTTTAAGAAGGGGAAAGATGATGTTAAAGATGAAAACCATCGCTGCAGACTGTCCACATCGATTTGTGGGAAAAAAATTAACTTTGTTTGTAATCTAATTGGAGAGGACCAATAATTGACAGCATAAACAATAGCCAACACCATAGAAATCTCAGTTGGTTCAGATTGCACAACTCTGTCTGAAAAATTAAAGTTGAGCAAATTATCACTCGATGGGTAGTAAAACTTCCGTGCCCACATCAGCTGCAGACAAGATCACAGCTTTCAATGAAAATTCTAAACTAGTGGGATCCAGATCCTGAAGAATTTCTTCAAAGAATTGTAACAGGAAATGAAACATGATTGTCTAGTATGATCCTGAAGACAAAGCACAATCAAAGCAATGGCTACCAAGAGGTAGAAGTAAATGAGTCCAAGAAAAAGCTGACTGGTCAACAGCAAAGGTCATGGCAACACTTTTTGAGATGCTCAAGGCATCTTGCTTGTTGACTTTCTGGAAGGCCAAATAATGATAATGTCTACTTATTATGAGAATTTTTTGAGAAAGCCAAAGTTTTAGCAGAAAAATGGCCACGAAAGCTTTGCCAGAGAGCCCCTCTCCATCACAAATATGCTCCTGCTCATTCCTCTCATCAAACAAGGGCAACTTTGTAAACGTTTCAATGGGAAATCATTAGGCATCCACCTTACAGTCTTGATTTGGCTCCTTCTCACTTCTTTTTCTAATAAAAATCTTTAAATGGTGCATATTTTTCTTCAGTTAATAATATAAAGAAGACTGTATTGACATAGTTAAATTCCCAGGATCCTCACTTCTTAAGGGATCAACCAAATGGCTGGTATCATCAGTTACAAAAGTGTCTTGAACTTCATGGAGCTTATGTTGAGAAATAACATTTATATTTTTATCTTTTAATTCCATTTTTTAATGAACTTTTTGAAGTCCCCTTGCACAGTCAGCTTTCCATATCTAGGGTTTCTGCATCCACAGATTCAATTCAACCAATCATGGATTGAAAAGATTTGAAAAATAAAAATAGCAAGACAACAATAAAAAATAATAAAAATAAAAAAGCAATACAATATAACAACTATTTGCATAGCATTCACATTGCATTAGGTATTGTAAATAATTGAGAGACTTAAAGTATAAAGGAGAATGTGTGTAGGTTTAATGTAAATACCATTTTATTTGATATAAAGAATTGAGCATCCAGGGAATTTCTCCTTCCCCCTCTCAACCTCCTACTCCTGTGGTACATACTTACAGATGACTGTATTTTTTTCCCCATAGGTGACACAAAGGGGCTGGAGGGCCTGGAGTAGGAGGCAAAGGTATTTCTCTAATTTCCGCCATGCCACAACCTCTTGAGAGTTGGCTTTTGTCATGAGGAGTGCTCTAGGCATCTTTCTCAATGATTACTCTTCCCCTCAAACTGTTACAGCCTGGAGGGGTTGTTCTCAGATCTTCATTGTGAGAATCTGATAGGTTCCTGAGGTAAAGGCCACAAATGTGTAGGGAATTTCCTAAGGTCCAAGAAGTTTCTTACTCTTGGTCAAGTTCATATTTCATCTCCAGAAATTAGTTTAAATTACAATTTATGTGTTTCTACCAGGTTATGGCACTGCATGCATCTGCTCCAGGTAACCGGGTCTGGATGTGCCTGGGGTGTCAATTTGGTGATCTGATAGCTCTAGAAAATTTGTTAATTTTCTTTTTGTCCAGAGTTTTCTTATTGTAAGGATGAGAATAGCAGCTTCCTATATTTTTACATATCAGAGCTGAAACTAGAAAACTAGATTTATTTTTAGCTTTAAAAGTTTTGATCTATCCAGAAATCATTTCAATGTAAAAAAAAATTAAGCAGAAGTCTTCATTTTTATTAACGTTGGCTACCTAGTTTTTCTAATATCATTTATTAAATTATTCATTCTAGTATCAGCTATTAATTTTCACCTTTATTATATTCAGAATTATCATTGAACTCACTCAAATAATTTTAATATTAGAACTCATTAACTCTACTAGCTTTACTTCATAGTTACAATATCTAATTCTGTAAACAGAATCTTAGAAGAATTATGATCTTGGAAAATAACATATAAAGTGGACTGATTCAGTGCCATGATGAAATTATCTTAAGTGCCAGGACAGTGATTATTACTAAATGTGTAATGACGTAGCAAGTATTTAATAACTAATGGAAGATAACCATTTAAACTAATGCAAAGAGAATATTGAACTTTGAGAAATTTGGCAATCGTAGGTCACAGTGATAAAACAAACTTCCCAGCTTAGTCTTAATTTAACATGAGTGGTTACTGACATAAACAAGTTTGGCACACTTCATCCAAAGAACTGAGTATCCTTTCAAAGTGTTATTGGTTTTTAGTTTTACCGCTTGTTAAGTTGGCAGTCTAAAAAATTCTAGTCTGGTAGAAGCTAGTTCAGAAAGTTTTTATTTTTTCCAACACCCAAATCCAGTGTTTATATTTCAGCTAAAACACAGGTTGTTAATCTATCTAATCTGACAGAATTATAGGTTAGACAAAACTTCCTTCCTTAAGGAGAGTTAGTTTCTACTGAATTTTATTTAATATCCTCATATACTCTTGCTAAAAGCAGAAAAAATAATCAGCATATGCTGTGAACCATTAAAGTCAATTTGAATAATGGAGTTAGATTGGAAGGCTTAACGTCTATTGAAAACATTTTAGATTTTATGTGACATTAAAATGTTGAGATGTAATCACATTATCTCATAATTATGCTTAAGTTTTATAACTTGCAAGTGTTTTGTATATAATAAAATTGTTAATTAGAAAGAAGACAAACTTTCAACAGATTTACTAACGTTTAAATTGTTTTATTTGTTGTAGCTCCCGTCGTATAAGGAAGATAGCAATAGTATTGCATTCTTGGAACTATACAAAGTGAATCAAAACAAAAACAACCATTATTTTCTTTCAATCTCGTTTTTCTAATCTTCTCATAGCTACACTTCTTGAGTTGTATAAATGTGTCTTCATTGTCTTATTTTCCACCTACTTTTCAGTCAATGATAAGATGATGGTTCTAAGGTCTCAAATGCTGTCTATATCACCAAATACAGTGTAATCCTCTGCACATCTATACTACTTTAGCTCTCTCTGTAACAGTGGGCAGTTTCTACCAAGGTCTCCTTCATTTTACACTCCATTCCCTTGAATTTATTACTCAGAAGTCCTGTTTTGTTTCTTCAAATCCTTTTTTTCTCTTCCTTACCTCTGTGGCTTCTTCTAACTTCCCATCCTGCCCTCTCTAACTGAACACTCACTAGAAGACAGTGTCTTTTTTAAACCTTGATCTTTTTCCTTTTTGTTTCACTCATGTGTGGAACACCTCCTTATCTTTTAAAACTCACTTAAAATCACTTCTTATAAGGGCAATTTCCTTGGCTCTCCTAATTGTATTTCAAGATTATGATAAATGTTTTCATTTGCTGAAATGTAGCTAATTTGTTTAAATTCTGTCCTGCTTCTTAGATTATGTGATTTATGATGTCTGGAATACATTGAATCTCTCTGATCTAGCTCTTAGTCTCATGCATTGTTTTTATATGTTGAACAAATGGATGTAGATTCTTACAGAAATCTAGAATATATTTGGATCAATAATGCAAAACTCTTGTCCAATGTTGGGTTGAATTTATTTTCCTGCATATTCAAGATGACACAAAAAGGCATATTCCATTGTGTTGCTAAATATTGTTAGTAAACTTTAAATATAAAAATCACAAAATGAATTTATATTTTACCTTGCCCTTTGAGAAATATAAAAGTGAATAGGATATGTGTAGATGAAACCCCAAATATCTGAATCTCTAAACAAAAAATTTGTAGGATTCTTCTGTGAGAAAATCTATAGAAAGTGAAGATTTTTATCCAAATAAACATTTTTCTATTTAGACCCTTTGCATATTTTATCTAATTGTTCTTATCGCTACCTTCCTCCATTTAATCTTTAACTGGGAATAATGAAAAACTTAAGATATTTAACATAAAACAAAGTAGAGCCTATTAAAGATGCCTTTGATTTTGATCCATTATTAGAGTTGATAACAAATATTTTACTAAAAATGAAAATAAATTTGTTTAATTACGTTTTGTAAATTCAATTAATCGTTGTCTTTTCTCCTCAAAATACACATCCATTAATTTTTCATAAGAGTGTAAAGACTAAAATGAATATTATTTACAAAATACATCGAAGTATTGTTCATATGAATAGTTTTAATGTTAATTCTTCCTGGAGCATAGGAAATACTACATCACAATGTAATTAGTGTCATTTTGCTGAGAAAGGGGGTAGTGTGTGGAGTGGTTAGCTCATCTGCTTATCCACATGATTGGAACACATGTGTGGCTTATCCATCTGAACCCTTTTATATCACTCTGTCTGACAGCCCTGTGTAGACCTGGAACCCAACTGGCACCATAAACTAGAACTCTGATACTTATGTCCAGGTCTGCTCTTCATTGTGCTCTTCATTCCCCCCAACCCCCAAACTTTTAATCCCTAACTCATTTACCATGACATGTCATAACTTTCCACTTGATTAGATGTCCTGGGAAAAAATGTACCCTAGAGAGAGCTCTGACCTAAAAAGATTATCCAAAGAGCAATTTGGATACTCTGTCTGGGTTGTCCCCTTCCCCCTGTCCAGGGAGGAGCTCCACCTGGCACTTGGCTCCCTCCTGCTGGTGACCCTTAGCAGCTCAGTGACCTGCATGCCACACTCAAAATCTACTGACAGATACTGATGCATGGCAGAGGTGAGCAAACCAGAGTCATTTTGCCTAAAACTGAAAAGCAGATGTCTTTTTAGTGATACATAAAAATATATTCATCTTAAATCCGAGCATGATTGCCATCACCTCCAAGTTCATTCAACATACTTAGATAAACATTTCTCATAAGGTAAACATTTTTAAGACAAAAGGAGAAAATGTTTAATTAAGGAATCTTCTAGTAAGCAAATTGATAAAGCTTGGCTCTGTGTCCCCACTCAAATCTCATCTTGTAGCTCCCATAATTCCCATGTGTTGTGGGAGGGACCTGGTGAGAGATAATTGAATAATGGGGGGCAGTTTCTCCTATAATATTCTGGTGATAGTGAGTGGGTCTCACAAGATCTGATGGCTTTAAAAAGGAGAGTTTCCCTTCACAAGGTCTCTTCTCTTGTCTGCCACCATGTGAGATGTGCCTCTCACCTTTCGCCATGATTGTGAGGCCTCCCCAGCCACATGGAACTGTGAGTCCAATAAACTTCTTTCTTCTGTAAATTGCCCAATCTCAGGTATGTCTTTATCAGCAGTGTGAAAATGGACTAATACACAAATCTTGTTAAATAGATGAGTGAAATATTAGCAGGAGAATCTATGTGATTTTCTGGATGCTTAGTATGTGCCAGCAGTTGCACTGAATATTTTGTCTCTGTTCATGCAAGCTTTCCTTAGCCTTCACAACCTTGCACACTTTGGTGCTCCATGTGCTTCTGAGCTCTGCATGGGAATTACACATATGGATCATGGCACTGAGCATTCAGGATCAGACAAGGAGAAAGACGAGGACTGATGAGATTCAATAATCAATTGAAAAACCAGCTGCCCAGCTCTGCCTTTCTCCTACCCTTCGATGCAAGAAAGAATGTTCATGGACTGGATTTTTTCCATTCAATATCTGAGCTGGCAACAGACTCAAGGACCTGAAATAAACTGTGAATTGCTGATACTAGCATCTATCGTCTGTTGTTATTTTAAAGGGAGCTTCCCTAGGACTTTAATGTGTTGTGAACAAATGAAGTCTATGTGGCAGCCACATCAGGTTACCAGGCCTCAGCCTTCCAACTGTATCCTGTACCATGATCAGAAGACAGGCAACTCCACATTTCCCCAAGAGAAGAGAAAAGCCAATTTCTTCCAAGACAAGAAAAGCAGGTGTATGATTCTCAATGCCAGCTTGACTTATTTTACATATGGGGAAATGTTCCTAGATATAAGTAAGATATTGCTCCCACCAGAGGCCAGGTGTTAGGGCCCAGTTCACTAATCTGCACTTCATTTATTCAGAGTGATGCATTCTACATCAAAATATTTTGTATGTGGTTTTTTAACTTTATCTTCTCTCCAGATAAAATAATCACAATCATATTTCCAAGAAATAATGTTAGGCATTGTCATTCTCAGTTCGTAGATACCGAAACTAAGGCTAAGAATGATCAAGAAATGTATCCAAAGTAGTTGGTAAGAGATGAACCAAGTCTATTTGGTTTGAACCTTAGTGTAGTTAAAAAATAAACAATAACTTAAGTATCACAGGGAAGATGTGTGGAAATGATCAGATATAAAAAATGTGACGTCGTTTTTAATGCAGGAGAACTTAGTATATTGAAGACATTTTTTCACCACAAGAAAATTCAGATTGTCTTTCAATATTAAGAGACTTAGATGAGGAGAACAATGCTATTATTCTCAGTTCCCTTTATTGGTTAGTAATCAGTGTGACTTACAAACCATTTATTTCCATGGAATGTACTTAATCTTTTCCTAACAACCTAAAACACCACAGCACTTAATATTAATACTTGGTGAGAGCTGAGTTTCCAAATAAGACCTTTTTATTCTGATGCTGAAAAACAGGTTAAATACATAAGTCAGGCCTCATAGTTTGTGTTTCTTTTTTATTTCATGAGGTTAACATTTCATTGTAGTTACCATCTAAACTTCTGAAATTCTGAGGCTCAGAATTTCTAAAAATACATTTATTCAGAATTCCTTGAGAAGAGTGTGCACTTGACACCGCGTATGAGTTGCATATTGGAAAAATATTATAACTACGTATTTGAATAAATAGAAAAGAATAATAGAATATAATTACCAGAAAGATAGGTGAATTGTTACCTCTCTTTGCATTTCTTTTCCAGTATAAAGACCGAGAAAGAAACGAACTACATCAGCCTATCATTCTAATTTAGAACAAGATTAATGCTTACCTTTTAATGCTAGGCATCTTAGTTACCATTTTAAAAAGGTTTTAAAAAACAGATTAAGCATAACAGGTAAAAAAAAATAGCAAAATGTATCACTTTGTTTTCAGATAAATTATGTGCATATATTCATGGTTCATCCTTTTTAAATTTTGAGGATACTTTATTAAAATTAAGTTTGGAATAGTAAAAATAAGAGATACATTTTAATTTAACACCACCCGAATTAAATATTCATAGTATTTTAAAATCAAAAGCTATAAAACAATTTCCAAGATCAAGTTCCCATAACTCTGCACTAATAAGACTTGCTATGTTGACTTCTAGCATTGTTAAAAATAAAAATGATCAAGAGCAAGATATATTTAAATATGCCTGCCCTGGAGAGTTTTCATGGTTATGATCTCATAGAAAATAGTTATGTTCTGTCAGAAAGTCATTTTTTTCTTACTTCAATAATATTGTCACGCTGTAATGTGATGGCACGAAGGCTAGACAAAGCTTTTAAAATTACAGTGATTTCTTTAGTAAATGTGGTTATATTAGTTAACTAGTGCTGCATAACAAATTTATTTAAAATCTTACAGCTTAGAACAATAAATGTTTATTATATGATGTCTTTTGTGGATAAGGAATTTGGGAGAGGTTTAGCTGAGAGCTTCCGGCTCAGGACCCCTCATAAGATTCAAACTCAAAGTGTTGGCCAGGACTGCTGTCATCTGCAGGTGTGACTGTGGCCATTGGATTGTGTCTAAGGGGGTCTGCTCACATGCCTGGCAAGTGGGTGCTGGCTGTTGTTTGGAGCATTCTGTTCCTTGCCACAGAGATCTCTCCACAGCGCTACTTGAGGGTCCTCATGACCTGGCAGCTCACTTTCCCCAAAGTAAATGGCCCAAGAGAGAAAGGCCGATATTGTAATAACATCCCTCATCTTCTGCTTGCTTTATAGGTCAACCTTATTCATTTAAAGTGTAGGTGAGAGTCACTGGGGGCCATCAGTGAAGTTGGCTACTACAACGGTGTATCTTTACTTTATAATCATTTAAAAGCTTTTCCAAATACCTCCAAATAATTAGGATAATACATAAGAAAGCATTTGGGAGTATGCGCTCAGATTTTATTCATTCCATTTGAAGCATCATGCTCTACAATAGCATTTCTTCAAGAGCACTTTGCTTTTCTGATAGCATTTCGGTTACCTAATTTCTCATGTTAAAGATTCATTAAAATAGTGCTATTTTCAACAAATATTACTTATTAGGTGACAATCACTTCTCTAGGGATGGGGCCACAAAAATATTCTTAAAGATCTCATATAGAAGTGGCATTGAGCTATCTGAAAACAACCAAAAAAATGTACATCAGTGGAAGAATCATTACAAATGACATATGCAAGCATTTCTGGAGGATTTGGGAGAGGATAAAGAATGAAAAATGAAATCAAGGACACAAATCCATGGATGATTAAATCATATCCATGATTCTTAAGCCATCTCAATATTTAGCTATCCAGAGTGTGGGCCTTGATGTGGTAAGGTGAGAAATGTCTCAAAAATAGAATGATGGTTAGAATGGGGATTGGAACGGGAAAAAAGCAAAAAATCAGGAGTCATGTTTTGGCTAGATTTGTTAATCTGACTAAGGGCCTTTGGAAATTACAATCGAATTCTAAACTCTATTCACTGTATTTTGAATCGTGCTCTACAAAAATTTCTTCTTTTATACTTAACATCCACTTTCGCAGTAATTTATTAAATTAACAAATAAATTTCATGCTAAAATGGGAACAGTTCAGATTTCCAATCAAATTATGGAGGATAAATACTTCTGTCTTTCATGGTTTTTCTAATTATACAGCAGATGAGGCTGGTGACATATTTCTTATCATCCATATTCTATAGAAGAAATACTCAAGTGAATTTCTTAGAACTCTTTCAAAAGCTCTTATAAATTATACTTACTATTTGAAAATCTCTTTTGAAAATATATTTGTTTAACACATATCCTTAGATGCTACCTCAAAATTTTAATATCTTTACTGTTTTCTGTGAATAGAAAAAGTAATACCTGCTTGTGAAGCTTCAAACAGTCAAAGGATGTAGAAAATAGAAAGCAAAGGTGTCTGTCATTGGAGTGAGAGTCAGGGGCAGGGGGATTTACGCTGAGCACAATCTTTAATGATACTTTTTTTTAAAAGAAATTCATTTGTATATGTTTGAAAGACCTGCTTTGAAATAGCAACCAAAAACTGGCCTTTTAAAAAAGTACTTTTCTTTGATGAAGGCAAGAGCACCCAAATGTAGAAATGACCAACTCATACAAACTAAGAATGTTAACCAGAGTTAGGCCAAGAGCTGATCATGGCTTTGAAGATACACAGGTCTTAAAAATCCCTGGGAATAAGAAAAATGACTCTGGCTGGAAGAAATTGACCATTATGGACAAGCTACACAGGTGCAGAAATACATGGAGCAGACATAAAGTGGTTGTGCAAATGGTATAGGGAGAAAAATAAGGCTCAGAATGAGCTAGAAGAGAAGCTCTGTGAGTGCAAGATTGTTGTATTTTCTGTTTAGTCAATCACTGTTGTACAGAACAGTTCCTGGCCTCTAGCAGGCACTTGTTAAATGCTTATGAAATACAAGACTTAAATAATGCATGAATTTCAACTTATAAGTACCTTAAAGATGAGATATTTGATGCACAGTACCAGGGCTGAAAAAAAGCATGTCATTGAGACAGAGGTATCACAAAAGGTTATGGCATCAATGTAAGATTTTTAAATAAATCTAGTTTCATTGCTTAGATTTACCTTTCAAGAAAATATATTTCATATATCATGTTGTTGCCCCAAACCATCATTGTGGAGGGGTCTTTGGCAATAATATAAAAGTAAAAATAAAAGTTTATAAAAGTGTCCTTGGATATGCATTTTTTTGCAAGAAAAAAATTTAAAACAATATTTTAACTAACACATAATAATTGTACAAACTTGTGGAGTAAAGTGTGATATTTTAATACATATACTTTTACATCTACTCTATTATTGAATATAAGATTTCATTTCCCATACATAAGAAATGAATTGACATTATTTAAAGGAACAGTGGGTATAAAGTTCTCAGACAAAAAGCAAATGTACTCATGTAAAACTTGTCTCCAATGAACTTTACAACTCTTGAAGGCAGTTGCTGGGTCTCATTCACCTTTTTAAAAGTAGGGCCTCATTGTTCATTTAATGAAACAATGCATACATACACAGTTGCATCAACCTCTTGATATTTCACAAGAATTTTTCTTTAAACTCTTACTACATAGAATTCTGAATGACATGTGCTTCCAAAAAAAGTTGACAGAATTTATTTCTTGGCAAATAAACTATCCATTAATTCAATAGTTTTTTACTGAATAGCCATTATTTTAGTTAATGGGGATAGAGAGTATACATGATTGCTACCCTCAGTGAGTTTATAATTCTGAAAGAAAAAAACAAATTTCTCAGCTGTCTAAGTAGGATCTAGACTGATCCAGTTTGGGGAGCAGGCCTTGGTTGCCCATCACTTATTTGTCTCTGTGCTCTCCTGGAGACTGCGCCCTTCACCCTTTCCCTGTGTCTCACATCCTTCTCCAACACCGACAAGAGCCCGGGGAGGCAACTCAATGGCATTACTAAATAATGCATTTTATTCAGACAAACCCTATTTAGACTGCTGCATTTTAACACAAAATCACTATGCACATTTATTGCTCTGGCATCCCCTAGTATCAGATTCCAGATGTCTCCTCAACAATTGGCTTAATGAAGTTTAGAGCAACCATCTTCTCTCCCACACACAGAACTATTTTTGAGACTTTATGTTAATATGTTGTTCTGCTCACTTTTACTGAATTTACTCCTTTTTAACATTCATTTTGGCAATGATATCAAGAAAAATAATCCAAAGTGTCATTTTGCAGGAAAGAATATTTCTCAACACCCATTAAATAATTCTGTATATGTTAGCTTGCATTTTATATATATACATATATATCTTTCATCATATTCACATGGTTCATTCAAAAATACTTTTAACCTGCAGTAAATTTTATACCAGTGCACTTATTACTACTAATACCTTTTTTAATTTATGTAAATCATTCTCATCGTCTTCTTTCTGCTAGACGTCTTCCCTTAGCTTTTCATAACTAAATTTTTTCTCCACTTTTTATGTGATGTTTCATCATTCCAAGGTATCCTCGCATAGAATATCCTCCTATTTATTTAGTAATATCTATTGCACAGAACGTATCAGAAAAACAACAAAAGAGAGGACAGTGGTCACCTGAGCAACCAAAATAGAGACCTCACGCTGAAGTTTATTTAAGTTACTTACAGAATCACACACAATCTCTGACCTGAATCATAGCTTCTTTACTAGTCTTTGACATGGTTTTCAATAACTTTCACTTTCTATTTTCGCAACTCACAGCAGCAATTTCAGTGTAGTGAAGAACACTGGCCACCCAATAGATAGAACAGCTAAAGGCCTAAGTGTGACTGACAGCTCAGTGGAAAGACAGAGGTAGAAGACTGCAAAAGGCAAATCTCAGAATTCACAAAAGCCGAGCAGGTGCCATTCAATGAAGACATGAACTGGCCTAGGTATTTCTGGGACCTGAATGGTCTTTCAATATTAGAACATAACTTGTGTAATTATGACCAGTGGTCACAGAGAATGCATCTGAATATAATAATCAATTCATTCGCGTATTTATTCATGTATTTGCTATGTGAAAAAGATTTTTCTATTGATGTCTGTACTCACCCTTAATGACAAGCCCACAAGCCAATTGAACGTAATAGATTTTCTGTGGAAATTCATAGCAGGTAGGAGAGAGACCTCACAAGACTACAGTGATAATTTAAAATCTAGAACTCTCCTCTCTTAGTAAGATTTAATTTAAATAATTTTAAGCAACCAGACCCCAGACTCTCTCCTGCCTCTAGGTACCCTCAATGTCCCTCAATTCCTTTTTGTTTTCTTCTTAGGTAGAATGTTTGACCATCCTCTGCTAGCCTCCTTCACACCCAAACAGTCACATGTTACCTTACACCTTTAAGTGACTCAGCAGGGATTTTCCTTTAAAAAGACCATTCTTTCCCTGAAAACAACTCTGATTTCAGCTAGCAAAAAAATAGTGACTTTATTATGTCCATGCAAGAATATTATATTTAAGAAACATGTTCATGTAGCATAGGTATGTTTTTGAATACATTTGCAGTCCTTTATTTCCTGACATTATCCGCTGGGCAAAGATAGGTAAAGATGACATATTAACAATATGCTACTATAATCAAACAGATATTGATAGCAAGCAAAACGTCTATCTGTTCAAGTATGCTGATTAAGTAATCTACTGTAATTGCCCTTTCTCTGTAGTGTAGTCACTGCGGTCTCCATAATTTTACTCTTAGAGATTCCGTCCATTGGTGAAGCACTGCCCTCTTCAGGCAAAATCGCCTAAAGTATCAATACTCACAAGAAAAATATACTTGAATCCATTTAATTTGTAAGAGCACCACTTTGGTGAGGTGACGCACACACAAACAAAATTCTAGGAAATGATACGAGTTTTGCCTAAATAGGGGTAATTTTTAGATAAACTGGTGAGGTTTTACACCTGTTTAAACAGCTGAATGTGTCTGACCTTCTTTAACTCTCTGAAATTCCATGAACCATAAAACCAAAGAGAAAGAAGGCAGTACTTTAGATTTATGCAATCCATCAACTGATTAGAAATTATTTCAAAAGTATTAGTTAAATCCACAGTTCCAACATTGTTTTCTACTCTTTATTATAAACAGCATGGTGCTGTCAGCTGTTACTGACTTGAGAACAAGTCTAATCACAGGGAACTACATTTCTAAACATGACTTAATTAGCCTAATGTGTTGTTTTAAAAATTAAGAGCATTTCAATGTCATGGTGAGAGATCAAGTGTTTTCAATTCTATTTAAAAGGATATATTTGGTAGTTGAAAAGCTAGCTCTATTGCTTTGTTCTTTAAAAGAGAATGGAAATTGCTCAGCCACATCACAAGCTTCTTCTGTAAGTTTCATTTGGGTCCATGATTCTTTTCATTGTAGAGAGCACAGTGGGAACAAAATAGCCCTGTTAATTGCCTGTTAATTCCCACAAAAATTTTAAATGTATCTCTACTTTTTATAAGACTATTTTGTACTATCTTGCTATAAAGGTATTTATCTTATTCATTCTAGGCATTAAAAATGTTTTAAAATCACCTTCGTATGAGTCCCCAGTTACATCCCGGGGGAATCTTGGACTATCAAATTAGAGACATCACTCTCAGCAAATATTTCATGTTGTAGACTCTAGGGGGAAAGCTGTAATGCTTCCCGACATGAGAAAAAGCAGCATGTCTGGAGAAAGAGCAATACTATGTGCCAATAATTAAGACAGACATGTTTCAAAATAGGAAACTAGAGTCAATTGTTAGAAGTTAAATAAAAGAATGAGTTGATTGTGTCAGAAAATGATTCTGTGAATGCAGTCTATGAAAATCTGCAAACTATAGAAAAAAATAGATGTTAAACATCTTAAAAATCAACAATATAGGCTGGGCGCGGTGGCTCACGCCTGTAATCCCAGCACTTTGGGAGGCCGAGGAGGGCGGATCACAAGGTCAAGAGATCGAGACCATCCTGGCCAACATGGTGAAACCCCGTCTCTATTAAAAGTATAAAAATTAGCTGGGCGTGGTGGCAGGCGCCTGTAGTCCCAGCTACTCGGGAGGCTGAGGCAGGAGAATCGCCTGAACCCGGGAGGTGGAGGTTGCAGTGAGCCGAGATCACGCCATTGCACTCCAGCCACGGTGACAGAGCGAGATGCCATCTCAAAAAAAAAAAAAAAAAAAATCACCAATATAAAAGTTTGGCTTCAGTCTTGTTCCCGATAAAATTTTATGTTTATGGCTACTTTTTTAACATTCAAATAAGTAAAAATTAATCACAGGTTTAAGAATGATTAAAGCTTGTTATATTATAAAACTAATTTTAATGACTAGTAGGTTAATATCAAGTTTGACCAGTAGGTGCTCAGTGAAGGACGCTGCTTTGGAATGAAATATGCTGGACTCAAGTTAGATTCTCTTTAGGAACTTTCACAAGGCAGTTCTCGTTTGCAAAATAGATTTCTGAAGCCAGATACTTGGATTCCAACATTTGCTCTTTGTTAATTTATTACTTGCCTGTACATTTGCTCCACAGTCTCTGTTTCTTCGTCTATTAACAGAGATATAAATCTTCATCTCTCAAGGGTGTTGTGTGGATAAACTCAGACAGCATGTAGAGGTTCTGTATTACACTGCTTGACACATCATAAATGTTCAGTAAGTGTCAGTTTTGTTTCTCTTCTCCTTCACCTTTTAGGTCACACTTGTAATCCCAGCACTTTGGGAGGCTGCGGTGGCAGATCATGAGGTCAAGAGATTGAGACCATCCTGGCCAACATGGTGAAACCCTGTCTCTATTAAAAATATAAAAATTAGCAGTGTGTGGTGGCGTGCACCTGTAGTTCCAGCTGGGGAGGCTAAGGCAGGAGAATCACTTGAACCCAGGAGGCGGAGGTTGCAGTGAGCCGAGATCGAGCCACTGCACTCCAGCCTGGCAACAGAGCAAGACTCCATCTCAAAATAAAACAAAACAAAAACAAAGCTATAACAAAGCTAATATAAACAAAGCCAGTATAACTGTCTATGACTAGTATAATTAAAACTAATAAATGTATATATGAAGATGCTTTGAAAATTTTAAAGTTATGTCACCCTTAGAACATGTTATTTGGAGAATGATCATCATGGAGCAATGAAAAAGGAGCGTCCTTTGTTTGTTCATAATCACCTAAAGAATATGATCATAAATAATATTTCTAAATGTAGAAAAGAAGTATTTATCACTTCACCTTATAAATACCCCAGTCAGAGTACTAAAGTCTATTTGATTTATGCTATGCTCATGGAGTTCCTTCTAATAATTTCATGAGTAGACTTTCATACAGGGGCTAATTCCTCAGACAACTAGCATCAGTTATCAGACCAAATTTAGCGTTGTGAAAAATTCTGGTTCGTATCTGGATTTTTGAATAAGTCTCTTATGTGTCTGGTTATATGATACGATAATAAACTGATTCATAGAGTAGCATGTTCAATGACAAAATGTGAGAATTTGATATTACAGCAGCTTGAAAGCAGAATAAAGTGCCACAATTTTAAGATAAAATTCAAGATCCTTTATTATCTGAATTAACACGTAATTCCTAATATTTTTTCCACTATTCTCACTCCCTATCCAGATCCTGCATTCCAGCTATTTTTTTACACTATTTTTAAATTCAATTTTGTTGAGATATATAACTTACATATTATAAAGTATACCCACTTAGGTCTGCATTCTGGCAAGTTTTTACAAATGTATACAGCAGTGTGTATACACCAATGCAACTGTCACCACGGTGACTAATCTATTTGGAATCCTATCCACTGAATTTTCCATTTCAGACATTGTATTTGAAGTTAAGAAATAAGACAGAAGTGACTGGGGGAGGGGAGCAATATGTAGATGTATGGAATAAAAGGAAAGCAGATAGAAGGAACTAGAAGTTCTTTTGTTTTTCATGGGTCTCCTTTCTCATTTCACTCTAGTCACAATTAAGTTTCGTCCTTGAACATATTGAGCACACTTAGAACATACTCTGGCATTTTCATCTTATAGATGATAGAATTAGAAATACTGCTGCTTTTATTGACTAAATACTATGCTAATCAGTCACTTTTTTTGGTTTTTATGCTTAACAATTTTTTATTAGATATGTGATATTTTGACTATTACATTGTTGTCCGTTAAATTTTGTTTTCTCTCTTTAAAGAGTTTTGGTTCTTTGGATTTTGTTTCTTTCCCTTCAGAATTTTGAAGTTTGCTTCGGTAGGCAATTAAGTTACTTGCAGATCAGTTTGATCTCTCGGAAGCCTGTTTTTAAGGTTAGCAGGGCACACCAGCCAGAATTCAAACATTTCCCAGTGCCTGTTGCACACTGGGGAACTGAGCACTTTAAAGAGTCCTGGCATCCCCACCTCTTTGCCACCCCCAACTGTCCTTGTGAAGTTTTACCTTCTGTGGGTGTAGATAGGCATTCGCAGAAAGAGTCAAGGGGATGCTGGTGCTGATTTCTGGAGCTTACTCTTGGTACCATGATTTTTCAACATTCTGCCTTACAAATTCTGCCTTCAGCAGTTTTGCTAAACTTTAATCTCTGTCTTCTCAACTAAGCAAGACAATTGGCTCTGTTTGGAAGCTCTTTTCCTGTACCATGTTTCAGAAGTTGCTTCTGGGTATAAATTGGTGCCGCCATAGAGTTCAGCATGTTTGTTCCATTTCTCTTTAGGATCAGTTCTGTACTGCTTATTGCCTGAGAGTGAAAACTTTTAAAAATGATATTTTGTTACATGTATTTCATTGCTTAAGGCAGGAGAGTAAATCTAATCCCTGCATTCCCCCATGACCAGAAGCAGAAGTGGCTACTCATTATTATGATTCATTTTTCTTCCTTTCATCTCTTGGAAAGAGCCATGCAATGTATCCCTGAGATCATTATCTTAGGCCATCTGCTTTCCTTTTACTTGACACATCTATATATTGCTTGCCTTCCCCCAGTCACTTGTGTCTTCTTTCTTAACTTCAATTATCACCTACCCTACCTTTAGCCTAGGCCTTTGTTTTGAGCTTTTATTTTGGTTAGCTGTTGTAGCGTAATAAACAGCTTCAAAATTCAGTGGCTTAGAAAACATCTTTTACCATTCTTAACCAGACACAGCTCAAGAATTCTCTTTAGTATTATACAAGTAACAGCTTCAATAACCTGGTGTTCCAAGATGCCTCACTCTGGAATATCTTAAAGGCTGGGCTCAAGTAAGATTCTGAGATAGCTGAACCTCTCTCTTTCTTGCCATGTCACAGCTCCAGTGGGGACAGTTGAACATCTTAGTTGGAGATTCTTGGCTACTAAAAGTGCAAAGCAGAGTCTGACAGATTTCCTTAAGGCATAATTCCAAAACTGGCAAAATTCACTTCCACTACACACATTCAACTGGTTAAAGCCATCAGAGATTTCAAGAATTTCTACATAGCTACAGTAATTAAGGCATTGTGGAATCAATGCACAGGTAGAAAAATAAATGGAAGAAACAAAACTGAGTCCAAGCAGACCCAACTTCTTAAAAATAAACTACTTATATTGGAGTAATTTCAAATATTTTTGAAATTTGTAAAATCATATGGCAAGGTTCCATATACTCCCTCCTCCAGTTTCCTCTAATATTGACATCTTACATTTTCATGGTACATTTGTCAAAACTAAGAAGCCGACATTAGTACATTACTACTAAGCTCCAGACTTTATTGAGGAATTACCAGGTTTTTCCACTAATGCCCGTTTTCTGTTCCAGGATTCAATCCAGGGTCACATTGCACTTGAAGACCCACTTTTATATACATATCCAATTATTACAACAAAAACACACCACAATTCAGAGGTTATTGGATGTCCCTTCAATAAATGTTACTGAATCCATTGGGTATTACAGAGAAACACGAACCTCAACCTTTCTTCATGCCTTACACGAAAATTAACTGGAAATAGCTCATGGTCTTAAATGTGACACCTAAAACTACAAAGCTTACGGAAGAAAACATAGGCTAATATCTTCATAAGATTGGAGTAGGCAAAACTTCTTGAACAACACCTAAAAAACACTAGACATAAAGCAAAAGTTAGATAAATTGGATTTTGTTTAATGTAAACATTTCTGCTAGACAACAGACAATATTAGGAGATTAAAATACAAATCTTTTATTGGGAAGAGACAGTGTCAATACATGTATGCAGTAAACTAGTCATATCCTGAATATATAAAGAAGTCCTAAAAATTCTTTGTGTCAGTAAGATACAGATCAAAATAAAAGATAAAATGAGAAAAGATTTAAGCAGATATATCACAAAAGGGGATACCTAAATGATCCCAGACCAAGAAGCATAAAGGAAATGCAAATTAAAGCTAAACTAAGATACCATTACACATCTGCTGAAATGACTTAAACTAACAATGAATACCACACTCTGTTGGTGAGAAAATGGAGCAACTAGAATCATCAACTATTGTTGGTAGAAGTATAAAATGATAGAACAACTTTGAAAATATCTTTGATAAAAACTAAACAATCTTTTTCTTCATGACCCAGCAATTCTACTTCTATGCATATTCCTAGGAGAAGTGCATGCCTAACTCTATGAAAAAACATGTACAAGAATGTCCTAGCTTCCTAAAAAATAGCAGTTTAATCCATAATATCCTCAAATTGGATAAAAGAAAATAAATGTCTATCGATGGTATGAGGAAGTTTTAAAAATGTGTTATATTTATATTATGAAATGTTGACAACAACAAAAAATTATTTGCACACCTAGAGACTTCAATATATCTCAAAAATACCTGGAGCAAAATAATTCAGAACAAAAGAGTATATACTGTATGGTTCCATTAACATAAAGTCCAACAACAGCCAAAACTAATCTGTGGAGATAGATATCGTAATTAGATTGACCAACTCAATCCAGTTTTGCCTGGAATTTTCCTGATTTTTGCACTAGAAGTCTCAGATCTGGGGCAATTTTTATTTTCCGGCACACCGAGGCAGTTGTTCAATCTAGGTGGTACTCTCTGGGCAGTTGTATTAGTTATCTATTGCTGTGTAACAGCTTACGTCAAAATGTGATAGTTAAAACCAACAATAAATCATTATTATCTCGCACAATAGGTCCGAAATTGTTGAGCAGCTTAGTGTTGGCTTGGAGTCTCTCATGAGATTGCATTAGGATACTGACTGAATGAAGACTATGGTTGTCTGAAGGCTTGATAGTGCTAGTGGATTTGTTTCCAAGATGGTTCATTCACATGCCTAGCAAGCTGGTAATGGCTTTTGGCAGGAGACAGCCTCAGTTCTACATCATGTGGACTACTTCATAGAAATGCTTGAGACTCCTCATGATATGGCACCTGATGTCCCCCAGAGTATCTAATCCAGGAAAGCAACATGGGTACAAGAAAGAAGGCATAATGACTTTGATAATCTAGTCTCAAAGATCACATGCCATTTTGTCTACACAAAAATATAGCCTTATTTATTGTGCAAGGAGACTACAAGGATGTGAATATCAGGTGACAGGGGTCATTTGAGTGCATCTTGAGGCTGAGAAAGATCATGAGGAAACTTCCTGGTATGTTGGAAATGTTCTATATCTAGATCTCGGTAGTGGTTATATATATAAAAAAATTCATTGAACTCTAAGTACACTTAAGATTTGTGTAGTTTTATCTATGTAGGATATTCCTCAGTTTATAAAGACATACAAAAGGGAGGAAATATATGACACTATGCAAAAAGCACAAATCTGCACATTTCATTCTGTTGCCTAAAATTCTTGAATTATTTTGTTATTACACAGAAATGAAGATTAAAAATTCTCACCATAGGCTCTAAGGCCATAATTAGGACCTTCTAACCCTAATTGTTTCACCAAGTGAATTATAAAACAAACTACTTATTTAAAGATTGAGTGATTATAGGAAAAGAAATAGCATTTGTGCTTTTTTTTTTTTAGTAAAAATTGTGTTTCAATGTTAGCAAATATTCCAAATTGATATTAGAATAAACTTCTTTAAAAAGTATCAGGAATAAATATAGATTGAATGATAGAATTAGAAAAACACAATCTTCTAGTTATGGAATAACTACAACATGTTATTTTATTAAACATTATTGTAAATGTTCAATAACTATTTATTAAATAAGGCACATAAATATTTCTCAATTCTCTGATTGTTTATTTCCTTAAATTTTCCTTATGTGGTTTTATTCATGTTGGATAACATGCCTTCCTAATTTAAATTCTTCAGAATTTCACCTAGACATATAGAATTTCAGCTTGGCAATATGGCAAAACCTTGTCTCTACAAGAAATTCAAAGAGTCGCCAGCCTTAGTGGCGTTGGCCTGTGGTCCCAGCTACTCAGGTGGCTGAGATGGGAGGATCACCTGAGTCCAGGGAGGTCCAGGTTGCAGTAAGCTGTGATCGTTCCTCTGCTCTCCAGCCTGGGTGACAGAGTGAGACCCTGTCTCTAAATAAATAATTTCTTCATTTTCTGTATGATTATTACTTTATCATAACAAAAATAACATGCTCAATCTGAACGTAACTAGACTTATTTATTTGTGTCTGCATTGGTCCCTGAATTATTTCAAAATGGAGCCTGTACCTTTTAATCTACCTTTTTCTCCTAAATGCTTTATTACTTTGTAGGGGTTAAACAAAAAAATACCCTTTGAATTGGGCTGATGTCAATATGTGACAGGCACAACTTTTATTGTGTTGTTTTTTAAAAAGTTCTAGTACTCTTTTGTGACAAAATATTGAGGGTTTTTCTTTTCTGCAGTTTTGTAAGTAAAATACTGAGGGTTTTTCTTTTCTGCAGTTTTGTAAGTATTTCATAATAATGAACACAATAGGATTAACAACATCCTTAGGCAAATCCAAGACTTTATGACTGACGCTCAGTACCAGGCTGGGTCCTTGCCAGTTTGTAAGACCACAGAATGCGTGGGAAGATGCAGCTCAGAAAGTAACAACACTCAGCAAAGCCAAGGGAGGACAAACTAGAAAATTGAAGCTGAACTTTAAATCATGACACTTTGCCTTTCCCACTGGCTGTGTCATCCCAGAGACCACAGAAAGAGATTAGGAAATCCTTGAGCCAAGGAATTTAAAAGCACATGAAATGAAAGGAAAACCTGTAGAAATGAAAGGGCAGTTACAGACCAATATCCAAAAGGAACAGAAAGTCATTGTTGTAGTTTTGTTTGGTTGGCAGCTAAGGGAATACCCCTCTGCTTACTGTCTGTGTTCATTCCCAGTTGTCTGTACTGTATTGATTGATTGATTGTGTGTGTGTGTGTGCACGCGCGCAAACATTAACAAATGAATTCTGCAGCTTTGTGCTGACCTTTCTCAGATACTTTCACCGCCCATGCACCACTAGAACTATACATGGAAAAAAGGGAGAAGGATGCAAAAGGTGTTTGGCAAAATCCAAGAAAACAGGATTTTCATAAAACAAATGAGAAAGTGAGGCAAAACACACTTCTCTGGGTCTCTGCATGCTGAGGAGCGTAAGCCCTCCTAGCCCTCCTTCCATCATACAAGACTTTGTGACACCACCCAGATCCCAGGGACCACCTCAGGCAAAGGAAGCTCTGAATTTTTTATGGAAGTAAACAAACTCCTCATGCTGATGTTTTATTGGCAGGAGAGGCTCAACTTTTTCATTCCTGCTCCTAAATTCCCCTTGACTTTCTCTTAAAATGAATAGAAACACTTTCACTCTGCAGGTAGGAAAACACTTACATAATATAGCTCTGTACTTTTGCTAGACATCCTTATCTTACCATTTGGTTTTCCCAGCAGCATATAAATTCTCAGCTGGGCTTTCTTTTTGTTTTTTTTTTACATAGCCTTAAAATCATGCTTTCCACAAAATACAAACATATTCTAGAAGCATTCAGACAACCATTTGCAGGAAATTGTGGTTTATTGAAATACTTGATATAATAAACATACCAATAGATGTACTCTGGGGAAAAAGTAGTGCACCAAACTATCTATGAAGTAGTTTATATGACTATTCTACAAAATGGTGACGAATAAACAAAGAAGCTTTGAACCAAGACTAGGTCACAGCTTAATGTAGGATAATGGTTTTATGAATATTAACTCAGATTAGAATGAGAACATAACCAAAATGAAACGCAATGCTGATGCCTTTCTTCAAGTTATCCAAATTGCCATCTCTATGGAATTAACAGTCATTTGGAATCCAAGTGTCCATGCATTCTAAATAAGTTACATGATGGGTCATTTGCAGATTAAAATATTGGAAGTACCTACCTACGATGGTAGATCTAATTCTGCGTTTAAAAGTCATGCTAATAAAAGCAAGATTCACAATAATTTTTATACCAAGATGTTAAGGAAATACTATATTCTGAATTCAATTTTCTCTACCTAAAGTACATTGTCTACTTAATAAAAGTATTAGATTATGGTTTGGAATTTATTCGGCTCTTTAAGAACATGTGTAAGTTCCTTTTTATTGGTATTGCTCTTCTTATTAATAATTAGTTGTTATAAAATCTAACATTTACCTGGTATTCAGTGATTACAAAGTGCTTTCACAAACATCCTTTGACTAGCATTTTAGAAATCTTTGCGGACAATATTGTTATTGTTATATTCTTTCATTTGTACAGGGCTGAGTAATTAAGTAAATTACCCAAGGAGATGGCTAGTTTACATCAGAATCATCATACTCTAAAGTCCTATTTATTGACATTGGCACCATGCCTGATTCTTAAGGCACTGGTTTAAGCACACATCAACACAAATGTCCAAAGTTGGTGTTTCGATTCTTTGAAAGCTACGTGTCAATATTCGAAAGAAACACCTATTAACACCCCTCTGCTCAATTCTCATTCCGTAAATACTAAGACAGTAGAGATCAGGAAGTTAAGAGTTGGATTGTTCAAACCTTGTGAAAGATTTAACCATCCCGGTTTACTAAAGAAAGATCTCTTCAGCTTACATAACAGGTGAAAAACAATCTTCTCTATGGTAGCCTAAGAGAATGTTGCAAGAATATTGTATGGAAATAAATGTTTACTTATCTCATGGTATCAAGAGTTTTTATCTTGATTTCCAATGGAAACTTGTAAAGAAACTACAGAGTTTTAGAAGGCATGGTTCTGAATCTGCTAGTATATAGTTCATACCCACAATGCACTAGAGAGGGTCTACATCCAATCACTAACAAGAAAAAGAAAAGGACAATGGAAGGAGGACAATTTCAAGAAGGCCATAGGCCTGCAACATACCAAATATGAAGTTCCTTCATATCAAATGAATTACAATTTTAACTCAACTTTACACATGAGGAATGAGGCTATTTAATTGCCTCCTAAGGTGCTCCTAGAAAATTCTTAGAGAATAAGCTGAAGCATGTACGAAATCTGTTTCATAATTTAATTATACAAATGTGGTAAAATGAAAGCTCTTCTGTTAAAAATGATGAAGATTAAAGAGAGCATTGTTAGCCCTTAAAGCTCCATCTGGCACCTCCCTGTGCCTGTAATCATTGGAATGAGAAAACATGCTTTCCCTTTGTCAGAGGCCATTCAAAAATCCATGGACTGAAAATTGTGAATTGAACCCAAAACTCTGGTCCTTGTTTATCTTTAGAAAACTGTACACTATCCCGAAGAGAAAAGATGCTTTGATTTTAAAAACGTTGCTTTTATGCTGAGTATTGGATGCCAGCAGCATGTAATTTTAAAGGATTCCATGCAAAATCAGAGCATTGAATGCATCACCACTATAATGATATCACAGCATCAGAGAACACATTAAATATAATTGTTGAGATTTTCATTGCATTAATCACGGAATTTAATGCGAGATGAAGCCAACTTGGGATATAACGAAGGAGTTTCCAGCAAGGCCATGCCCCCGCTAAGAACAACGGGATGAGTCAGTCCAAATATAAAATCAATTCGTTTGAATATTTTGCAGAGCTTCTTAAGAAAGCAGCATGTGAGAGGCCAAGATCTCGGGAAAAAGGGAACCCCAAAAATGTGAGCTGGTACTATGTGAGCTGTTTTTCTGCTAGGGACATTTGCTCATAAGTAGCATAGAACTAGACTCCAATAAACCAGTCAGAGACATGCAGGAAAGAGGCAGCAACGCAGGGAGAGATTTGACAACCTCACAAGGGGAAGGTGAGACAAAAATTGGGGTTTGCTTCTGGCAAGTCATCCATGACTGAATCAGCCAAAATTTGGAGAAGGGAGGTTCAGGGAAATAATTCCAAACTCAGGGGGTTCCCTCTTTGATGCATTCGCTGAATTGTTAATCAGGGAAGAGCAAGATGCTAAAAACTTGAGTGCCCAAATAGCAGAGGAGAGTTATGAGTAGCCTCAAGGGGCTGAAGGGATCTTAAGAGATTATGCTAAAAAGGAGGAGTCCTAGGAAACAGCTGCTATCCCTGGAAATCTACACCTTACAGATGGGGGCAAAGCAGAGGTGGGCAAAGCCACATCAAAATTGCATTCCAAGCCACGTGCAGTGGCTCACACCTGTAATCGCAGCACTTTGGGAGGTTGAGGTAGGCGGATCACCTGAGGTCAGGGGTTTGAGACCAGCCTGGCCAACATGGAGGAACCCCGTCTCTACTAAAAATACAAAAATCAGCCGGGCATGGTGGTGTGCACCTGTAGTCCCAGCTACTCGGGAGGCTGAGGCAGGAGAATTGCATGAACCCGGGAGGCGGAGCTTGCAGTGAGCCGAGATCGCGCCACTGCACTCCAGCCTGGGCGACAGAGCATGACTCTATCTCAAAAAAAAACACAAAAAAACAAAAAACAAAAAAACATTTTCAATCTTTATCTCAGCAGCTTTCCATATCATTTCAATTTAAAAATTCACTCCCTTGTTCTATTTTTTTCCCCCCTACATTTCTGTTTCCTTCTGGTCTTCTTTGGACTCTGAAAATGCTCTTCAAACTCTGTAACTCAAACATAAAATACTCCCTGAGAATAAGCCAATAATACTTCAAATTTGCTAGGCCTCTTTTACTTCACTATCTTTTCCATCGCAATTAATTTTTTTTTTTTTTTTTTTTTTTTTAGATGGAGTTTCGCTCTTGTTGCCCAGGCTGGAGTGCAATGGCACGATCTCGGCTCACTGCAACCTCCTCCTCCTGGATTCAAGTGATTCTCCTACCTCAGCCTTCCGAGTAGCTGGGATTACAGACATGTGCCACCACACCCAGCTAATTTTGTATTTTTAGTAGAGAGGGGGGGTCTCCATGTTGGTCAGGCTGGTCTCGAACTCCGACCTCAGATGATCCGCCCGCCTTGGCCTCCCAAAGTGCTGGGATTACAGGCATGAGGCACCGTGCCCGGTCGCAATTAATTCTTAAGATTCCAGGAGCTGATATTTCCCCCCAGATGTTTCACAATTCTGTCCTCTTTTCACTACTAGTTCTGCCTACTGTCAATTTCTCTTTGGCTACAGCAGTAGCCTGCTAAGTAGTCTCAGCACATCCACTTTCAAACTCTCTAGTCCTTTTCTTTTACACGGAGTGACAAGGACCTTCTGAGCACTACAGATGTAATTATGTCATTCCTCTGTTTAGATACACAATCACTTTTTATAGCTGTAAGGACAAAATCTGGTCACTGTCAACTGCTCTGACATCATAGTGAGCAATTTCTCTTCCTTTTCCAGACATTTTTTTTTTCATTTCCTAAATGAACCACGGTCCCTTCTGCCTCAGAACTTTTGATTATGTTGTTCTTTCTTCCTGTGATGACTTTCCAAATCCTTTGTCTCTTGAGCTAAGTACACCTTGTTTATCTTTCTAGTCTTAGTTCAAATGCCACTGCCTTAGGGAAGTTTTCCTGAACACCCTCTGGCAAGATACTGCTCGTTATACCCTCTATGCTTCCTGTGTTTTTTTCTGAACACTGTATTTTTGTATTCGATTATTTCCTATTCATCATACATGCCCAATCCCAATCCCAACCAGACTGATGATTCCATGGGGAAAAGGACCATGCCTGGTTTGTTCTCTTTGTATTCCCAATACCAAGTTAATTCCTGACAAAGAGTTGATACTCAACAAATACATGTCAAATGAATGAACAAATGAATGAATAGATCGATGGATAAGGAAACATAATATGAAGATTCTTTAAGTACCCTCCGTTGGCTAAACTATCAAAGTGCTGTTATTTTCTCTAGGCTTACTTGGATCATCAACTTTCCTCCCAAAACACTACACCCCTTTTTTCTAAGACCCACAGTACAATGACACACTGGAAACATATTAGATCACCCATACCACTTAAACTATCATGTCTTTATGGATTAATTAGTAAATCGACTTCCTCTCTTCCCCTCTTATCCTAATTCCATATGCATGTGTGGACACACACATACACACACACACACCAAACATACACAAGGTCAGATTCTGGGAAAAAGAAAATTGCATTACTGTCCTTAGGCTGTAATCTCCAGAATTCTCTAATGACTTAATGTTATTTTTTCAAATTAGTATACAACCGATACCAATACATAAGTTTAAAATACAGACTGTTTTTAGAATATTACATTGGCTTATTGTGAAACTAATTTCCTAGTTTCCTAAAAAGAACCTATTTGAGTTATCGTTTTCTTTTCTGTAAGCTTTTCATTTTTCTCTCAATTTTTCCTCTTTCCCGTTTCAAAAGTAAAATAAGTTAAAAACTAAAATATTAAAAATAATAGGCCTAAAACACAGCATTCTTAAAGTTTTCAACTTCCTAATTTCTTTGGTCTTCTAAACGTTTCCTGAGAAAGTGCCTTTCTGCCATTCAATCTCCAAATGACATTAAAATTTGGGTGTACCTTATTTAATATGCTTGCTTTCAAAAAGGGAGGAAAAGGTAAGGGAACAGAGGGAAAAACAGTAAAAAGTTATTTATTTATGACTTTACATTTCATACAGTCCATATACTACTGCCCCAAATTATTTGTTACAGAATATTAAGCATATACACATTCTACATATTTGGCCTCATAAAATCAACCATCCTTTACAGATGATTGGCAGCTCATGAGCTTCTTAATATAGTTCATCAAATTATGCTATTGAAAGAGAATATTTGGAAAGCATATTAATAAAACTGCCATTATTATCTTCCAAATGAACTATATTTTTACATCGTGATTGCTACACATAGGATTTTGTCTCAGAAAAAAATCAGAATGTGTCACCATTTAAGAGTATAATTTTTTTAGAGAAAAATAAGATTATTTCATTGAAATATTTACTTAAAAAAAGGTTTTGATGCTAGTGAAGGCATGTTGATGATTTGTTAACATGTCTTTTTGGGGGCAATCTGGAGGATTCAGAAAGTATGCATATTGCTTCCTTTGGAGGTAAGTAGCTATATTTTGCACTCTCTGATACCCTAACATCAAAGAATTGCTATGCAAATATACTACTGGCAGAAGAGGCAATAATTATTTGACGTTTTCTGTGCTTCTAAAAATCCTTCCTTCATTCCCATCAAGTTTAATTTGCCTTTTTTTCTTTTAAGATCTTAAAATCCAGTAGCTACCCAAATTCTTTCTTATAGAAGATATTGATGCTTTTTGAATGAATGTTGAATTTTCTCTGAATTACAATGTTTATTTTTCTCATCATTCACACACTTTTTTTTGTAATTATTGCTCATTTACCTCAAGAATAACATCTGACCAGGCACAGTGGCTCATGTCTGTAATCCTCAAAGTGCTGAGACCAGCCTGGGCAATATAGTGAGATTTCATCTCTACAAAAAATACAAATGATTAGCAGGGCATGTTGGTGCACAGCCGTAGTCCCAGCTACTTGGGTGGCTTAGGTTGGAGAATGGCTTGAGCCAGTGAGGTAGAGATTGCAGTGAACTGTGATCTCACCACTGCACTCCAGCCCAGGTGACAGACCAACACCCTGACTCAAAAAAGAATAAAATAAATAACATATAACACTCACAGTAATATTGGTGCTTTTTGCATTTGGATTATTCTAGATATTCCATCTACAGTATAATTTTGGAACTAATGTATGCAAAGTATATTAAAATGACAATTATGTAACTATTTGTTATTTATTTATGAGTGTTTATTACTAAATGTGTCACCTAACTTCAGGGCTCAGTGTTTTAAAACTTATTCATCACCATGGAAGTGGCTTTAACATCTTTACCTAATTCTCTGGGCCTTTTTCTAAGACCATCTCCAGGTCGTTGCAAAATCCACAAAACCGGTATTCAGTGCCCTTGGCATCTGGTTTTGGACCTTCACTCCTTATTTCAGGAAACCCAGTACCCATCTGTTGTATACTACAAAAAACAATCTTCAAACTCTTCTGAAATATTCATTCATCTACCAGATAACTGACAGCTGAAAGCGTTTCACCTCTTAGTCCTAATTCCACTTTGTTAATATTGGCATTGACAATAGTAGGTTTCTGTTCATTGCTTCCTATGTGCTAGGCAGGCTAGGTACTTTTCAAGTAATAATGGAAATGTGAGCTCCTTTTATCTGTTCTTTCTGTGTTTCTCCATCTTAAGCTTTATGGATTGTAAAATGGTTGGTAAAATATTTTCAACAGTTTAAAGATGTACAGCATAATATCACCATGGAACCACTGGGACACAGAGCTGATCAAAAGTAGGTTAAAATGTTTAAAAAAGACTGACTGTGGTTGTGGCTTAGTTTTAGAAAGCTTCAGTTCTTCTCTACCAAAGACACAGGTTTTATTTTTCTTCATAAAAAGTGCTGATAAAGAAAAAGGTGTATTTATGATGATACACATTTGAAAAAGGAGAAAAGAAAGCAAAGCAAGAGTAAAATAAAAGATAAGAAATAGGCTAACATGAAGCCAAATTTATCTTAGAAAATTAACATGGATGTACTCCCCACTCCACCTACTCTCTTGTCAAAGCCTTACAAAAATATCAGGACTGATGAAGAAAGAAAGATCAAAGATGTGATTAGAGCTGGAAATACATTTAAGATATAACTTTATCCAATTCAAACCATTCCCTGAAGACTACAGAGGCAAACTGATCATGGTCACAAGCTAATAGGGACAGAGTAGAGACTGGAGCCCAGGCATCCTGTATTCTAGGTTAAGGTTTTTTGTTTTTTGGATTTTTTTTTGGCCATAGGACACTGCATTCCTTCACACTGAGTTATCTTTAGGCATTTTATAGTAAAATTAATATGATTTAGAATAAAATAATTTTATTTCTGACTATTTCATATTAACTATATAACAAAGAGAATGAAATTTAATAAGGGAAATATCAAACTTTTAATGTGTAACTTATTGTTAGAGATACTTACTTCCAAAGATTGCTTTGCTGATTAAAAGTGATATTTGTTGACATGTATGAAGGACTGCCTATGTGCTAGAGCTGCTCTAATTTATCTAAATGTAATAAATTATTTCCCTCTTATGTCATTTTGAAGCATATGTCTCATACAACTAGAAGGTATTGTGGTGGAAATTAATGATTCCAGGTAGTTTGGCCCAAAGCCTATGTATATTAACACATCAAACTTTCAAAATATTGTATGTAACAGCAATTTAATAAAAAAAGAGCAGTCATATATTCATCTGTAAGCTTAATACTGGTAAGCTTAATTACTAGTTGCTTTAAATCTTCCATCTAGTCTTCCCTATTGCATTGTCCTCTCTCAGGCTTAGAGTTAACCACTAATCTGAATTTAGGGCAATCATTGCTTTGTTTTAATTTATGTTTTCCTATATTTATAAGAAAAGGAAAACTGAGAGCACATATATTATCTATATAATTTATCTTTGTACCTTTTTTAAGGTTACCTTTAATGAACAAAATATCTTAATTTTAAGATAGACACATTAACAAAATATTTCCTTGAAGGTCAATATTATGGTAACCTATACATATAAATAAAGGTTCAACATTAACATAATGACACACTCTCATTATTGGTCCACTTTAGTTTCTCATCTAGTTTAGTTGTTTTATATGTAATGTATCATGTACCCATGAAATCATCATCCATAGTAAAAGCTGGGACCTTAATAACATCCTGTACAAATATTTATTCGCCCTATCTCCTCACTTGCCTCACCGACATTTGAGCTAAATTTTATCTTAAATTCTATGTTCATCTCTTCTTCGCTTTCAAATGTGTGTATACATATATATGTGTGTGTGTGTGTGTGTATATATATATATATACATATATATATGTATATCCTGAAAAAGAATTTGTGTGTGAATACATATATATTCACATATTAATTTTAGGTTTTATATAGTTTTTAACTATGTAAACAGGGTATTTGATGTATACAGGCACACCTTGAAGATATTGTGGGTTCAGCATCATACCAACTCAAAAATTTCAATGAACATTTCAATAAGCTACATCAAACAAATTTTTTGGTTCCTCAGTATCTATAAAAGTTATGTTTATATTATACTGGAAGTATTCTATTGAGTATACAATAGCATTATGCCCCCCAAAATGTGCAACTTAATTTAATCCAATATTTTTAACTAAAAGTACTTTATTGCTAAAAAAAACAGGCCTTCATAGAGTCCTGATGTTTTTGCGAGTGGAGACTTTGTCTCAATGTTGTTGGCTGCTGACCGATTAGAATAGTGGTTGCTGAAAGCTGAGGATGGCTGTGGCAATTTCTTTCTTTCTTTCTTTCTTTCTTTCTTTCTTTCTTTCTTTCTTTCTTTCTTTCTTTCTTTCTTTCTTTCGTTCTTTCTTTCTTCCTTCTTTCTTTCTCTTTCTTTCTCTTTCTTTCTTTCTTTCTTTCTTTCTTTCTTTCTTTCTTTCTTTCTTTCTTTCTTTCTTTCTTTTTCTTTCTTTCTTTCTTTCTTTCTTTCTTTCTTTCTTTCTTTCTTTCTTTCTCTTTTTTGAGACTGCCTTGCTCTGTCACCCAGGCTGGAGGGCAGTGGCACGATCTCCCTCACTGCAACCTCCACCTCCCAGGTTCAAGTGATTCTCCTGCCTCAGCCTCCA
Source organism: Homo sapiens (assembly GCF_000001405.40). NCBI lineage: Eukaryota > Metazoa > Chordata > Mammalia > Primates > Hominidae > Homo > Homo sapiens. The sequence goes on from NC_000001.11 coordinate 238,970,299, forward strand.
GAGAAGCTGGGATTACAGGCACCCACTACCATGCCCGGCTAATTTTTGTGATTTTAGTAGAGACAGGGCTTCACCATGTTGGCCAAGGTCTCCAACTCCTGACCTCAGGTGATCCACCCACCTCAGCCTCCCAAAGTGCTGGGATTACAGGCGATCACCACCACACCTGGCTACTTTTTGTAGTTTTAGTAGAGACAGGGTTTCACCATGTTGGCCAGCTGGTCTCAAACTCCTGACCTCAGGTAATCTACCCGCCTTGGCCTCCTAAAGTGCTGGGATTACAGGCGTGAGCCACTGCACCTGGCTGGCAATTTCTTAAAATAAGACATCACTGACATTCACCTCATCGATTGACTCCGAGGAAAGATTTTTCTTAATAGCATTTTTGCCTGCAGGAGAATTACTTTCAAAATTGGAGTCAATCCTCTCAAATCCTGCTGCTGCTTTATTAACTTAGTTGATATAATATTCTAAATCCTTTGTGACTGTTTTAATAATGTTCAAAACAACTTCACCGACAGTCACCATCTCAAGAAAGCACTTTCTTTGCTTGTCTATAAGCAGCAACTTCATGTTCCTTAGTTTTATCATGAGATAACAACAATACAGCTTCCAATTTTAGTTCAAGTTATCTTGTTATTTCTTCCACATCTGCAGTTACTTCCTCCACTGAAGTCTTGAATCTCTTAAAGTCATCCATGAGGATTGGAATCGACTTCTTCCAAACTTCTGTTAATGTTGATATTTTGACCTCCTTCCATAAATTACAAATGTTCTTAATGGCATCTAGAATCATCAATTCTTTCAAGAAGGTTTCAATTGGTTTTGCCCAAATCCATCAGAAAAATCATTATCTATGACAACAATACCATTAGGAAACTTATTTCTTAAATAGGAAGACTTGAAAGTGAAAATTACTGCTTGATTTATGTGCTACAGAATGGAAGCTGTGTTAGCAGGCATGATAACAACATTTATTTCCTTGTACATCTCCATCAGAGTTCTTGGGTAGTAAGGTCAATGAGCAGTAATATTTTGAAAAGAATCTTTTTTTTTCTGAACAGTAAGTCTCAAAAGTGATCTTAAAATATTCGGTAAATTAGGCTGTAAACAGATGTGCTATTATGCAGGCTTTCTTGTTCTATTTATAGAGCACAGACAGAGTTGACTTAGCATACTTCTTCAGGGCCCTGGGATTTTCAGAATGACCAGTGAGTGTTGGCTTCAACTGACAGTCACCAGCTGCATTACCCTCTAACAAGAGAGTCAGCCTGTCCTTTGAAGCTCTGAAGCCAGGCATTGACTTCTCCTCTCTAACTGTCAAAGTCCTGCATGGCACTTTCATCAATTCTTTAGTGTAGCTACCTTCATCAATTCTCTTAGCTAGATCTTCTGGAAAATTTGCTGCAGCTTCTGCATTAGCATTTGCTTCTTCATCTTGCACTTTTATGGAGATGGCTTCATTCCATAAACCTCATGAAACAACTTCTGCTAGCTTCAAACTTTTCTTCTGCACCTCTCTCAGTCTTCACAGAATTGAAGAGGTTCAGGGCTTTGCTCTGGATTAGGCTTGAGGGAATGTTGTGGCAGATTTGATCTTCTATCCAGACCACTAAAACTTTCTCCTCATCAGCAATAAGGCTGTTTCGCTTTCTTATCATTCATGTGTTCAATGGAGAAGCATTTTTAATTTCCTTTAAGAACTTTTCCTTCACCTTCACAACTTGGCTAACTGGTGCCAGAGCCCTAGCTTTTGACCTATGTCAACTTTCAATATACTGTTCTCACTAAAGTTAATCATTTCTAGCTTTAGATTTAAACTGAGAGATGTGTGATTCTTCTTCTCACTTGAACTCTAAGAGATGATTGTAGGGTTAATAATTGGCCTAATTTCAATATTGTTGAGTCTTAGGAAATATGGAGGCCCAAGGAGAGGCAGAGAGTTGGAAGAACAGGTTGGTGGAGCAGTCAGAACACATACATTTATCGATTAAGTTCACCGCCTCTTGTGGGTGTGATTTGTGGCACCTCCCAAAGTTACAATGGTAACATCAAAAAGCACGGATCACAGATCACCATAACAGATACAATAATAATGAAAAAGTTTGAAATTGACTTGTTTGATTCAGAGTTGCCACACACTTTCAGTTTGTAAAGAGCCAAACATCTTGGAAGTACAATAAAGTAAAGCACAATAAAGCAAGGTGTGCCTGTATAATGTTTTGGAATTTGTTTTGCATCTTATACTGCAAAGATTCATTCTTAATATTATATGTTACACTTATTCGTCCATTTTGATGGTTATGTAATATTCACTGTGTGACTATAACAGTTTTTTAATCCATTCTCTCATTGATGAACATTTGTATGGTTGTCAGATATTTGTAACTGTCATGTTTTCTGGGGTTAACTTTCTTTTATGTCATAGGGTAGCCTTAGAGTACATAATTGCATCATAAGGTGAATAAATTTTCAACTTTACAAAATAATGCTAAATTTTATTTCCACATTCAACATGACAGCAGTTCTATGGGTCATCACTTTCTCCAATTCTTGGTAAAGCTACACGTTTCAAATTAATTTGTTATTCAAATTTAAAACTGTAACTCTTTATTATCATGTTTTGCATTTCTTGAATTAATAATGATATTGAACAACTCTCTCCAGATGTATGGGTAAAATGTGTTTCCAGTTCACTGAAAATGTTTGTTACTCATTTTCCTACTAAGATGTTTGTACTTTTCTGATTGATTTATATATACATATCTTTTAAACATGTTCTTGATACCAATCATTTACCAGCCGTGTGCACTGAAAATATGTTATCTCAGTTTCTAACATATTTTCTCATCTTTAAGGTGTGTTTTGAGGAAAAAACTTGTAATTTTAATAAGCTACATTAATTTTTTATTCGCTTTGTGTCTTAACAGATCTATCTGTAATTCAATTTGTAAGATTGTCATATTTGTTTTCTATAAGAATTTTAACATTTTACTTGGACAATTAAGTCTTTACTATATTTATGGATAATTTTGTAATATGGTGGTTAATACAGACCCAATTCAACATTTCTCATATTGAAAACCTTTTTTTCAGTCCTGTTTATTGAACAGTCTCTCCTTCCCTCACTAATTAATATGAAATCCATAGCATTGACCAAAGTTTTCTACATGTGTAAGCCTGTTTCTGTGTTCTCTGTTCTAACCCATTTATCAATTTGTATATATTTGTGATAATACCATCTTTACTTACTCATGACAGTCTCAGAATAAATCTGAATATCTGGTAGGATTATCCTTTCACTTTCCTACTACTGATTCCTCTTTCACTTTACCAATTTAGTTTCCTAGAACCATATTATCATGTTTTATAAAAATTTGTTTAAATTGTGATTATAATTGTATTGAATCTATAGATTAAAATGGGAAATTTGAAATCTGTAGAACATTGATTCTTTTTATCCAGATATTGCAAATCTCTGTATCTTTACATAAAGATGTGAAATTTTCTGTGTAGAAGTCTTACACCTCTTTTGCCAAATTAACTGCTAGATACTTAACATTTGCTTATGTATATAAAATCGTAAGTTGTGTCTTTTCATACTTCAGTCGTTTGCTAGTGGTACATAGGTGTCATTGACTTCTGATCATTAGCCTTGCGTCCATCAAAATCATTAATATCTCCTTATTATTTCAGTGAATTTGCCTGCCAATTATTTTGGGTTTTCTAATGTAGTGATTATATCATGTTCTTTGTTCTGATTCCTGTCTTCTGTATATTTACTTTTATGTATCTATTTATCTGTTTGTTCATTGATTACTTTTTGTCTGCATATGCTGGCCAGGACCTCCAATATATTGATGGGCAGAAGTAATGATACTTATCATGTTTGCCACTGATTTTTGTAAAAATTACTTCTAACAAGTTTTCATTTAGGATGATGTGGTGGTTTCCTCTACAATCTTCTAAAGATATGTTTTATTAAGCTAATGAAGTTCTTTTTCCTTATTTTTATTCATAAATTTTTTTCCAATGCTGAAGAATTCGATTTTGAAAGTAGTTTTTGCATCTCTTGATATTTTTCTCTCAATCTGTTAAAAGGTACAGATTTCTCAGCATTAAATTAAATCATCTTGCATTCTAGAGATAAACCCAGCTTTACTATGACATATTACTTTTTATACACTGCTGAATTCATTTAGCAAATATTTGTTTATGATTTTTTATCATGTTAAAATATATACGACAGAAAATTTACAATTTTAATCATTTTAAGTGTACAGTTTAGTGGCATAAAGTACAGGCACATTGTCATACAACCATCAATGCCATTCATCTTTAGAGTGTTTTTGTCTTTCCAGACTGAAACTCTATACATATCAAACAGTAACTTCTCATTCCTACCTCCTCCAAGCTCCTGGAAGCCACCATTCTTCTTTCTGTCTCTATGAATGTGACTACTCTAGGTACCTTATATAAGTAGAATTATATAGTATTCGTCTTTTGTGACTGGCTGATTTCACTCAGCATAATGTCTTCAAGGTTCATCCATGTTGTAGCATGTGACAGAATTTCTTTCCATTTTGTGGCTGGATAATGTTCCATTGTGTGTATGTGCCACATTGTTTTTAATCCATTCCTCCACCAGCGAACACTGGGTGGCGTCCGCCTTTTTGCTATTATGCATAATGTGGCTATGAACATGGGTACAGTAGTCGCCCCTCATCCATGCTTTCACTTTCCAAGGTTTCAGTTACCCTCAGTCAAGCGTGGTATGAAAATATTGAATGGAAAATCCCAGAAACAACAACTTATAAGTTTTAAATTGCACATTATTCTAAGTAGTGTGATGAGATCTCTTGCTGTCCCGCTGTGTTCCACCTGAGACGCGAATTCTCCATTGTCCAGCGTGTTCACGTTGTAGACCCTTCACACTCATCAGTCACTTAGTAGCCATCTCGGTTCTCAGATCTACTGTCGTGGTATGGCAGTGCTTGTGTTCAAGTCACCGTTATTTTACTACATACTGGCTTTAAAACACAAGCGTAGTGGGCCGGGCGCGGTGGCTCACGCCTGTCGTCCCAGCACTTTGGGAGGCCGAGGCGGGCGGATCACGAGGTCAGGAGATCGGGACCATCCTGGCTAACATGGTGAAACCCCGTCTCCACTAAAAATACAAAAAACTAGCCAGGCGTGGTGGCGGGCGCCTGTTGTCCCAGCTACTCGGGAGGCTGAGGCAGGAGAATGGCGTGAACCCGGGAGGCGGAGCTTGCAGTGAGCTGAGATCGCGCCACTGCACTCCAGCCTGGGGGACAGAGCGAGACTCGGTCTCAAAAAAAAAAAAAAAAAAAAAAAAGGAAAGAAAAACAAGGGTAGTTATAATTGTTCTATTTTATTATTGTTGTTGTTAATCTCTTACTATGTCTAATTTATAAGTTAAACTTTCCCATAGATGTATATGTGTAGGAAAAAGCATAGTGTTCTTAGGGTTTGGTACTTCTGTGATTTCAGGCATCTACTAAGGGTCTGGGAAGGTATCTCCTGTGGATAAGGGGGGACTACTGTATACAAAGAATATCCGTTTGAGTCTCTGCTTTCAATTCTTTTTTGTATACACCGATGAGTGGAATCGCTGGATCATATGGCAGTCCTACGTTTAATTCTTTTGAGTAAACTCCACACTGTTTTTCAGAGCAACTTTATCATTTTTATTTATTATTTTGCCTCTACATTCATGACTTATTAATATTTATTAACAATTTTTCTTTCTTCTGAAGTCCTTTTTTGGTTTTGGTAAAAGAATAATGTTTTATAAAAATGAGTTAGGCAGTATTCCTTGTTTTTCAGATGTCTGAAAGTGATTGTATATAAATGTGCGTTCTCCAGTTATTCAATGAAGTATTGTATATATGCTTATTCTATCAAGCTTGCTATAATGTTAAAAAAGTCTCCTGATACACAATGAGTTTCTCTGTGCTCGACCCAACAATAACTGGGATTACTAAATCAAAATCTTCATCTTGGTTGCGGGTTTATTCATTTTTCTTCTTATTCTGTCAATGTTGCTTCCTAAGTCTGAAAGTCATGTTACTAACTGTATACCGAAGAATGGTTAGAGCTTTCTGATGAACTAAGCCTTCTCTTAGTACATGATTATGGTTTATATGGACAATGCTTTTGCCTTTCAGTCTATTTTTACAGACACTGATACAGTCATGTTAAGTAGAATGCACATGGAATAAAATGAACTAATATTTTTACTTTTAGACTTTCTAGGTCTTTATGTTTTAACTATAGCTTTTGTAAACAACACATAACATTTTTGTGTATTTAAATTGTCAAACTTTTCCCGTGTTTTTCTCTCTCTTTTTTTTTTTTGCCTGTGTAATCACTTTTTTCTCTCTTTTCAGCTTAGTCTTTACTATTTTGAAAATTGTACACTATATATCTAATCTTTAGTGGATACTGTAGACAGTTGAAGAAAACAACTGGAGAACTTCGAAAGAGCTAGGGCCACCTTCGCTTATGTGAGGCATGCGTCATATTCTCTAGGAATTTTATTCTATCTTTATCTTTCAACCCCATGAATATCAAGTGTTTTTTATTGCCTTATGGAGAATATTTGAGTAGATTTAGATGCAAATACATTTTATCATTTTTTTCACCTTACATTTTCCTTTTAGAATCATTTTTCTTCTTTCTGAAGTTCACTCTTTAGAATTTTTTGAAGATAGCGTAGATAATAAAATATTCAAGTTTTACTTGTTTAATATTGCCATCATTTTGTCCTTGTTTTTGAGAGGTAATGTTGCCAGATGTCATTCTAGCTGAATCTGTATGCTTTCTCTCAAATTTTGAATCACTTATTTTAATGTCCTTTGCTTCCATTATTGCTCTGTCAAGTAATCATTTATTTGTTGAAAAAAAACTGTCTTTTATTTTTAAGTGATTTTAAAGTCTTCCATTTATGTTCAGCGTGTTTCAGTTTTATTTCTTTTAAAGTACTATACCTTTGTTATTCATTAGCCTTCCTCCAATTATTTGGAGGATTGATTTTTTTAATCAATTCTAGAAATATATTTTTGACTATTACTTCTGTTTCCCAATACCTGCTTCTAGATTTCTGATTAAATAACTTTTCATCATTATTACCTTATACTATATATGTATACAATCTCCTTTATATTATTTACATATTTTTATATTAATATCATTATATATTTTATTTTTCTCTCTGTGCTGAATTCTTATTTCTTCAGATACATTTCCCAAGTTGTCAATTTTTTCTTGAGCTACATCTATTCTGATGTTCACTACTTCAATTAATTTTGTTTTTTCTTGTTTTTTTTTTTTTTTTTTTTTTTGAGATGGAGTCTTGCTCTGTCACCCAGGCTGGAGTACAGTGGCGTGATCTCAGCTCACTGCAGCCTCTGCCTCCCGGTTTCAAACGATTCTCCTGCCTCAGCCTCCTGAGTAGCTGGGATTACAGGCATACGCCACCACGCCTGGCTAATTTTTGTATTTTCAGTAGAGACAGGGTTTCACCATGTTGGCCAGGCTGGTCTCAAACTCCTGACCTCACGATCGTCACGCCTCGGCCTCCCCAAGTGCTGGGATTACAGGCATGAGCCACCACACCCAGCCTACTTCAATTAATTTTTTAATTTCAATTATTATTTTAGCTCTGAAAGTTCATACTAGTAGTTTCACAAATTTGCTTCATCAGTTTTGATAAGCTTTCATTTTTCTCATGTTTTCAACTCTGTTCTTTATGTATTTAGATATGTTAAAAATAACATTTTATATTTTCTTCAATAATTCTAACATGTGCAAGCCTTTCAAGAATGATTTTGCTGATTTTTTTTTTTCTGTTGACTCACTTGCATTGTATTTTGTTTCCTAATGTTTTCAGTGATTTTTTACTTTGGACTTACTTTTCTTTGACTTTATTCTTTGACTTACTTTTTCTTGGACTTTTGAAAAACCTTTGAGGCCTTCCTATGCTTGAATTGCAATGCACCAGAGATGACTTGTGTTTGTTTTAGTCAGATGCCTAGCAGCACTAGAAATTCTGAACATATCTCATGAAAATCTCAAATTCAGTTCAGGGTCCCAATAGGTAGTGTAAACAATGGCCCTGGTCCTCTAACTTCCTAAGGCTTTTTCTAAGTCAGATTTTTCCTCCTGTAAAGCCATGGCTGGAAAAGGAAAATTATTTTCTGTAGCATGCTTTTTAGTTCCCTTGCTTGCCTTTATTTTTATTTATTCATTTTTTAATTTTTAACAAACTCAAATAGGAAGGAGGTACGATCCTTTGCTGTCTCAGTGTTACACCAGGGATCTCTAATTTGAGCTTCCACCTTGTTTAAGTCAGGTGGTTTATCTCCTCTCTCACACTTAAGCAACCCTTAACACTCAGGTACCAGAACACTCTGGATTTCCAAATGCACTCAGGATATTCGCTGGGCAGATCCTAACCTCTGTAGTGTTGTCTTGTACTGTATTCTTTACCTCTGATTCCTTCTCTTATTTTAAATTTAGCTCAACCATGGATTTTAAGACATTTTTAAATAAATATTTTTTCTAATGTTTTAAATATTAGTAGATGTTTCCTTAAATGTTGCCTATATACCCAGAAGCTAAACTTCAAGCTAACTCTGTTAGCCACACTGCACACTATATTTCTTGAATAGATGAAATACTTGTTGTGTGATTCAGTACGTTGTCAGTCATAAGATGGGGATATTTAGGGAGGCATCAAAAAAAGTCTAACTTACAGAAACCATGTTAAAGGAGTCAACAATCAAAAAAGAACATAGAAAAGCATTCCAACCTCTGGGCTCCATAAATTCTCAGCTGGACAAATAACCCAGCTACACTGAAACTTTTCCCTTCATCATTCAGTCACATTGACTCTCCTAGTAACTCCTGATCACACCTTGTCCAAGTCTTGTTATGAATTTCTGCCAATCCAAAATTCTAAAATACTTCTACTTTTCGCCTGTAGCACTTTTGCTCATCCATAAAAAAATCTGCTCTTAAATCAGATTTTCTTCGAAGTTTGCTTATATTCTTCTAACAAACGAGTTTGTTGCTACAACCTCTGGGCTTCAACATGATTACTTTTACATATTTATTAAAGCATTTATTTTCCATTAAATTATAAGTAATTTTGTCAATTGGGAAATTTTCATTGGGATTGATTGGAGTCATGTTTGGTATCTTCGTTACAGGTGTCATATTCTTATCTCTTTCTTTTGTGCCTTAGAATTTTTTATATTATGTCTTTTAAAATTAAAAATAGTATACAAATCGTGGGTGTACAGCTTAGTCAATTAAAACAAGGTGAATCCATCAACATGCCCATTTTTAAATGAAGAATTAGAACATACCAGTGACTACTCTTTAGTCCTCTCCAGTTTCTGCTGCTCCCATCCCTGAAAGGTAGCCACTATTTTGAAACTTGATATGCATTAATTCATTCAGTATTTATTCTTCTATATGTCATTCAGTATATAAATTTCTGGCTGCTTTTGCTCTACACTGTGATTCTGAGATTCATCCACGTTGATTCATGTGTCGATATGTCTGTATTCTCATTTCTATATAGCATGTCTTCCTATTTTGGAATGTACTGCATTTTATGAATCTATTCAATGTTTATGGACATTTAGGCCATTTTTATTTAGGGACTGTTATGGGTTGAGCTGTATACCTTCAAGTTTTATATGGTAAAGTCTTAACCCCCAGTACTTCAGAATGTGACTTTATTTGGAAATGAGCTCTTTATAGAGCTAATCAAGCTGAACTAAGGTCATTAACATGGGCTATCCAACAGGCATCTATACAAGTAGAATGCTATGTAAAGATGAAACAAACCAGAAGCTAGTGGGGAGGCACGGAACAGATTCTTCCTCACAGACCTCAGAAAGAACCAGCCCTGCTGACACCTTGCTGTCAGACTCCAGCCTCCGAAACTGTGAGACAATAGGTTTCTGTTGTTTAAGTCATCCAGTCTGTGGTACTTTGTTACCACAGCCCAAGCAAGCTAATACAGAGACTATGAAGATACAGCTGCTATAAACATTGTTGCTCATAATTTTTATTGAACATATGTATGCTTTTCTATTGAATATATGCCTAGGAATGTGGGTCATATGATATATGTTCATTTTGCCTTGGTAGATATTTCCATATAGTTTCCGTGGTGGTTATATCAATTTACACTCTCACGAAAATCACCAAAGAATTTAACATGAAGGAAATGGCCGTTTTATAGGTTTTCCAAAACTTATTTGGTCAAAATTGGATCACAAAGCTAGGAAGGTTTATTCAAGCTACTTACATGAAGAATCACATTAGAGAGAGTTTGCTGGTTGGTATAGATCCCTGATTCTGTAGATTAATCAATGCAGTTTAAATGTGGACAGCACAGAAGTGCTATGCCAATCTTAAGAGATTCAACAAGTTTCCATAGATCATACAAGGATACGTTTACCAAAAAAATCTTTAATCACTGACCTGTCTGATAGAGGTGGTTCTTCCTTACATTCAAAGACAATATTGAATGTGGTGTCATGGAATAAGATCTTTAGTGTAGCTTTCTAGATAATTTTGTGCTCAGAATAAGAACTCGTCTCCACCTCAGCCCCCATGTCTTATAGAGAGATACACCATCCTAGCACCTCTTTGCAGGAAGGAGGAAATTATGCCTAAATTCCTAAACCTCTACATTCTGTTGGCTCATCTCTTCCCAAAAAGTGTTCTCAGAAATAATGGCAGAATTAGAGCTGGAAAGGATCTTGCCCAAAATGAAAGCAGTCAGGGCAGGCACTCTCCTTTATCCCTAAATGTTTCACGTTATAACAACTTGGAATTTCACATGAAGTAGTCTTATCTTGGAGCCTATAGGATACATTTTTGTTATTGAACTGGCCAATGCGTATTATCTTTAAAAAATGAATTCTTATTGCTTTAAAATAAACTTCCTGAGGGATCATACTAAACTCTTATATTCAAAAAATATCCACCCAGAAGGAATTTATGATAGAAGAGAGAACATATTTTTTGAAACAGAGCTTTGTACTCTATTAACTTCATTTCCTTGTGCTCAAATAAGTACATGTCTTCCTATTGTATTATTTATAACTATTTTCCAGTCCTGTCTTGTTCAGTCTGTGCCACACTGAAACACCTAATGAAACTAAATTTTAAAGAGCCATGTTCCACAATTAGAGGTATCAGCTATAAACCATGACTACAGCCAAGAAAAGAGAAATGTTCTACTTTCACTATGCCATCACCTTTAAATTTAGTCACTTTAAAATATCAATAATGTGCATTCTTGCCCACGTGCAGGCAACTGTTCCTATTAAACCACAAAACTCCAAAGACCTAATTAAATCAATAATAGCTTTTTCTACTGTGTAGCCTCTGAGTGACAGTTTAATAAGGAGTGCTTTAGCGATTCTATAAATCAGAATGATACTTCATCCTAACAAGATCCACACAGCCCTTTCTAGAAACTTTCTCAGAAAACTTATTGCTTAGATGATTTCATGATTCCCCACTTATGTAAGGAAATACACTTTTGCAACTCTCTGCTCTTGGTAAGTGTTAAAAAATGACACTTTCAGAACAAGATTCTTTTCATTTTATTTATGAGAATAATGTTGCTGTGAAAAAGATGACATTTTAAGAATTGTTGGAAAAGAATGATGCATTTAACTATAAATTGAGTCCAGGAATTTGAATGGCTTCAACAACCGTTATTAGTGCAGACCATTCACATTACCTATGATTTCATGTACCCTGTTTACTCTGTTTCTTCTAACTTTGTTCCTTCACCTGCTATTCTAAGTCATGGGAATAGCTCTTTCAGGCCTTTAAAATGTAAAGCTATAATTTCTGAGACAGAGAGAGGATAAAGTACCACAATAAATTTCTCAATAATTTTCCAGTGAGAAGTATTAAAATGTATGGTTATTGGACTCTTTTTTAGATTTTTATTTTGTCCTTCAGGGTGAACAGTTTACATGTGTCTCAAAGGCAATCTTATGTTTGGGAGCTCCTTTGGCCTAGTTGTAAATCATTTGGTTTGCTTTAGAGGTAGCATTATCTTAGGAGAGAGTGAGAAAATGGATTGAAAAATGTCCTGTGTTTTACTGAAGTAAGAGAAGCTCATCAGTCTAATGTTTAAAAGTTCTGTCAGACGCATCCAACTACTTTATGAATATTTATGTGCCATTCATTTCCTATACATTTTATTTAGAATTGTCATCAATATTCAGTTGAAAAACTCTGCCTTACGAATGGAATTAACTCACGTAATAGTAGTTTACTGATCACCTGCTGTAACCAGGACACCGTACTAGGCATTATAATTCAAACTTAATTACTTCAAGTAACCTTACTTTTTAAGAATAAAAGCTACAAGTACAGCTTTTTATACCACCTAGAAGTTTATAGGCACATTATAAGTTGATTAACCTAACACCATATTTAGACAGAGAACACCAGCTCCTGACATCCAGAGGCTGGCCTGGCACTGACAGGGAGGTCTTAGAGACAGCTGTTGAACGTCAACGTCAGACAAGGCCACTTTGAGACCTTGATGAATTGAGACAAAAACCACAATCACTCTGTAATCATGTCTGAACACAGACAAGATAAAAACTTTGTCCAAGCCACAAAAATGACCAAATATCACCCTATCCTGGATAGCGTGAGTGACTAGCTACCCTTTTACCACTACAGCTTAGCCTTGGTCTGTACTTCCCATGTTCTACATAGCATTTATAACATACCCAGTCATAAAATTACCCGTACATCCGGACAGCATCCAATGCAGAACAAATCTCCACTGTTTTAAACCCTACCCCACATCTGCTGAAACAAGCTTAAATCCTACAAGTCATTTTCAACATTGTTTTAACCACGTGTGCCTTCTCCCTCCCTGAAATGACTAATAAACACAACTCAATTACAGGTGGTATCTCTGGTGGGTTTTTTTACTAAAAGTTATTGAAAATAAAACATAACAAAAAGAGCTAATTCTGTATTTCCTCAAAGCTGAGATGCTATACATTGTAAGACACATTCTGATTTCACAGGTATTGATTTATAAAATGTGTGCATCTTAGAATTGATGAAACACTGAATTCATTTTTTAATTACATTTACTTGGAGTTAGGGATACATTTAGCAAAAACACTAAACTTAAAAGTTGACAGGCATCTTTTATTTTTTATGCAAGGCTCTCCCTTGTAAGGGTTCTTAAAATGTTCACTCCCTTTTAAGGGTTGCTAAAATGTCCTCCAAGGAAAATGAATCTGTATATCGTACAAAGTAGGATCTCAGTACTTTTTTTTTTCAGCTAAGGACTAAGTAAATATGTTATGGATTTAAAAAATACTCTGGATCTGAAATTGGTCAATCTGTCCCACTCGTAAATAAAGTTTTATTGGAACACAGCCACATCCACCATTCATTTATATATTTTCAATGACAGAGTTTATTCATTGTAACAGAGGTTATATGGCCAGCAAAGCTTAAAATATTTGCTATTTTGCTTCAAAAGTTTGCCGGCCCATCTCTTAGATAGGCAGAGTGAAATTAGAGCAATTACCTGAAATGAGCATATGAACACATTCCAGCTTATAACACTTGTAAAATACATTACCGTTTCCATGTAAGATATAATTAGAACATAATAAACAAAATACTGTGACTCAATGTCCTCACTTATAAAATCAGCATTATAATCTTAGTACTTATGTCATAGAGTTCTTACAAGGATTAGGTATACTAATATATCCAAAGTGCTTAGAACAGTGCTAGCATATAATAAGTGCTAATATATGCATCTTCTACTTTTGTAGTTGCTGATAATTACTAACAAAACCAGTAGCTACCCCCAGGCTTCTTAGCATTAAAGTTCATTTCTGAAAAATTAAAAAAAAAATAGTGAGCAGGATAATAGCTAAATAATGGCAAAGTTAATCTATATTCTATCATGGGCCAAAAATGGCCCAGAATATATTTTTAAAAAGACAGAGAGAAAGAGAAGGAAAAAAAGAGGATTGCTTGAAATGCAATGGCAATTATTCTATTGAAAAACTGGGAAATGATTAATAAAACTGTTTAGAAGCAACCACACACAAGATAGCTTGTTTAGAGTCTTCCATCCTTGGATTATGAACAGACGTGAACACAATAGCGTTTCGAAACACCCACACACTGGATAAAGAGGAGAAATTTAAATACAGCTACAAGTCTGTCTCCTGCAAAAATATTGGAGTGGTAATTAGTCTGTCCTCAGACTGGGATTATATTTCTATGTCTTCCATTCTTACTTTATGGTAATTCTTAGAGGAGAAAACCCACAAGTTTTAGGTAAATCAACTGGGCAGACAAAAAAATGTATACATTAAAATACAATGAAAAAAATTCAGAGTAACTTCCTGTTATTAGCTATTTTGCCTGCTATTTTATTAGCAGGCAAAAATCAAATAAAACTCTCTTTAAAACATAAATAATTTTTACAAATATTTTAAAGATTATTTATTAAGATTATATTCTATATCAACTGAATGCAACATAATATTTAGTTAGTTATTATATGTCATGAGTTGAGTTTAGAAATTCTATTTTTGTGGAGTAGGTGCTTCACAACCTCAAAGCACAAAATTAGAAATTTAAAAGAGACTGATAAATAAGTTAGATATGTTATATATTTGACATGTTTTATTACTGTTATTAATGATACCTAACACTTAATGAGTGTTTTTTGTTTGTTTGTTTGTTTTTGAGATGGAGTCTTGCTCTGTTGCCCAGGCTGGAGTGCAGTAGTCCGATCTTGGCTCACTGCAACCTCTGCCTCCCAGGTTCAAGCGATACTCCTGCCTCAACCTCCCAAGTAGCTGGGACTACAGGTGTGTGCCACCGCTCCAGGCTAATTTTTATATTTGTAGTATAGATGGGGTTTCACCACGTTGGCCAGACTCGTCTCGAACTCCTGACCTCAAGTGATCCACCCGCCTCAGCCTCCTAAAGTGCTGGGATTACAGGCATGAGTGTTTATTAAGTGTTAGGTATGATATTCTTGGTTATTTTCATTCTTTAGAAAGTCATATCAATGTGTGGATATAAACTGAGAGCACCACAGAAGGTAAGGAATTTGCTCAAGGCATGACTGAATCTAGTTCTGAGTCATAAATACACGTGCTCTACCAGTATAGTATAGAATTGTCCATGCAATTAAAGTTTGAGAGACTTGCTATTGTGACCACAGTTCAAGGTAATACATTCTAAATGGCACAGTCAAGATTTCCTTTTGAAATCTAATGTGCTAAAATGCCAAAATCTATGTCTCTATAAAAATGTACTTTCTGAAGAAAATTATTATAACAGGTAATATATAACAGGTAAAATACCTGTGTTTTTTCACAACAGGTAAAGCCAGTTGCAGGAAAGGGAAATGATTTCAAAATTTAGCCAGCACGAAGTCCATATATGCTTTGTGTTTTACGGGTTCAAAGAAGTAGCAACATACACATTTAATTAGGAAAAGAGTCTGTGTTCAGAAATTTTGAGGAAATAAAGAGACATTGTTCAAAATAAGAGGAGGAAATAAGGTATTATTAAATAATTTCACTTTGCCCTGATTACATGGTTTATCCAAGACAAATTCATTAAGTATGTATTTCACTGCCATTGTGAAGAAAATAGTATAAATTTCAACTCCACTTAACAAATATTGACAGTTTGGGTTAGGCTAACAGGAAAAAAGTACTATTAATATTACTCAGAGAGTTAATTTAAGTCAATACTTTATTATAAGTATGACTTTACCAGATGTGGTCACATTCCAAATCAATCCTGTTTGTTTATGAGTAGAAATACAGAAAGAATCATTTACAATATAGAAATATAAAAGGCCTCTAATGTAGTTTTATTATCAAAAATACTAAGTAACATCATAAAGTCCTATTAACCTGAAAGTTTTTTTGGAAATTTATGGGAGTGTTAAACAATCCCTTAATAATTAACGGGATTGATTTTTCTTCAAAAAAGGTAATATTTTGCTAAATATGTTTTTATTACTACAGCAGGGTGAGGAAATATTATAATGGGTATTCAGTAAATTCCCTTTTCCTTAAGTGAGATATATATTGTTTCCATATTCATGAAGAGAGTCTTGAGATCAATTGAGTGCCATCTTTCTCTATTTCTCTTAACAAGAATGCATATAAAACACATGGTCAAACAAAGTTTTAGAACCTAAAACTCAGATAACAACAACATAGTGTTATTTACTTGAGGGGGAAAAGGGATATAGAAACAGATTTCTAATGCAATGAGTCAGGGGAGGATTCAAAGAGCAATGCTTCCTTTATTGGCCTGTCATAGTTGATGAAAATATTTGCTCTAGAGAAACTTTTACATATTCTCTTTACCAGTAAGTGAAACCAGCTCTATGTTTAGAATATTACTATCTAAGAGTTCGTTTCACTTAATATTCTTATATCATTTTTGAGTTTGACTTCATTGTGGTCATGTAAATTAAGCCTTTAGTAAGGTACATAAGAAGTAGAGAATAACCTAAGACTACAATTTTATACACTGTAGCTGAATTGAATTTTGGATGCAAAGATATAATCAATGAATGAAAAGTAATAATGGCCTTTTTACTTTATTTCTAAGAAGATTTTAATATTCAGCAGACCATCAGAACTCTATAAAGTAGAATAAATTCAGTGTAATTTATTCAGTTACATATTATAAAGTTATGAAATTTATACATCAGTAGGCTTCACATACGTTTCTTGTCACTTTGTACTTTTTTAATAAAGTGGCATTGATCAAGTATATAATATATAAAAAGACTTAGCCATAGATAAAGATATTAAGAAGACATTTTAAGAAAGAGATATCTCTACGTATGTTTATATGGAACGACTTTTAAATTATGTTATTTAATGGGAAAAATGGTGTACAGTGTTTCTGGTAGGCAGATTATAAGATGCTCCTCCCTGCCCCCCCCCCCCCCACCAATCCCTGCATCCTGGTACTCAAACCCTTATGTAACTCACACCCCTTGCGTGTAGGTGGGATCTTTGACTTGCTTCTAACAAATAGAAAATGACAAATGAGATGGGATGTCATTTCTATTATTAGGCCACATATAATTGTAAGTTCTATCTTGCTAGCAGATTATATTGCCTCTCTGCCTTTCATGCTTTGGCATAGTAGGTGGTCCCTTTGGAGAGCTCTATGTGGCAAAGAACTGAGGGGCAGCTTCTGGCTAACAGCCAGCTAGGAACTGAAGCCCTCAATCCCACAGCTGGTAATGAAAGCCTAGAAGGGGGTTTGACTGCAGTGAAGTGTTGAGAAGAGACCCCAGGCCTAGATAACATCTTGATTGAAGCCTTATGAAAGCCCTAGAAGCAGAGAACACAGGTAAGCCATGGCTGGACACCATGGCTAGAGATGCTATACAATAATCAATATGCATTGTCTTAAGCTGCAGCAATGGCTAACTAATACATATTTTGCTGCCTGGAAGCAGGATGTTTCCATAACTATTATGAAAAGTGTGAGAGTAGCCTTGGAACTGAGCAGTGGTAAGAGGCTGGAAAGATTTGAAGGAGAATCATAAAGAAAGCCTCAATTGCCTTGACTAAGCTGTTAGTAAAAATGTGAACTTTGAGGATACTGCTGATGAGGACTCGAAAGTGAGGGGCATGTTACCAAAACCCAGAGGGACAAGGACCCTTATTATGAAGTGGCAGAAAGTTTGGCGAAGTTTTCATCCCAATTATGTGGAAAACAGAATATTTATATCATAAACCTAGTCATTTAGCTAAGGCAATTTCTAAGCAAAGTGTTGAAGGTGCCACCCTACTTCTTCCTGCTGCTTATGGTAAAAGGTAAGAGGAGAGAAATCGAGGATTGAACTGTTAAATGAAAAAGAAATTAGGGCTGATGATTTTTAAAGTTCTCAACTCTTCATATGGCAAAAGATGCTAAAATTAAGAAATTACCTTCAACCACTGTCAGAAAAATCTGTTCTAGAGATAAGGCCTGGACTAAAGACAGAGTTGAATATGTGAATGGACAAACTTTTTGTTAAAACCTTGGAAAGATAAAGGATCAGAGTACTTAGTCACAAAAAGTCATGAAAAAAAAGTTAAGAGTATGCTTAATGAAGCCCTTCAACAAAATCATGGGCCTTCTAGAAAGTGTTAGGGCATTGTCCCTAGCCACCTCAGCAGAAGCCCAAGGTAGAAAAGGGTTTATCTAGACACATTTGTAGGTGTGACTTCCATCAGATAGAATGAACCCCAGTGAAATTCACAGAAGCCTGAAAAATATTTGAGAAAACTGTATCACCAAAACACTGCCAGTTTGGATAGTTTGAGTGAGAAAAGAGAATAGAAAATGAAAAGAGACTCTAGGACTTCCCTGAATGTTTACTGGTCAAAAGCATACTGCGAAACCCATGTCAGTGCAACATACTCTACCTGTCATAAAAAAAAACAAAAGAGGGTAATTTAAGGGAGAAATCAAGAGCCCAGAAGGCAGAGCCAAGGATCGCAGAGAATTATTCCCAGACCTTGGAACAAATAATTTCAAACCTTTGCCTAGTGAAATTTCAAAATTACTATGAACTCTTTTTTTGATGGGGGTGGGTGAGACGGAGTTTTGCTCCTGTTGCCCAGGCTGGAGTACAATGGTGCAATCTCAGCTCACTGCAACCTCCACCTTCTGGGTTCAAGAGATTCTCCTGCCTTAGCCTCCTGAGTCACTGGGATTACAGGCATGTGCCACCACACCCAGCTAATTTCGTATTTTTAGTAGAGACAGGGTTTCACCATGTTGGTCAAGCTGGTCTTGAACGCCTGACCTCAGGTGATCTGCCCACCTCAGCTTCCCAAAGTGCTGGGATTACAGGCATGAGCCACCACACCCAGCCTATGAACACTTTTTTACCTCTCAATTTTTAATAGAAATGTCTGCAGCTCCTATCCTACACCCCAGCCCTACCTACCATTGTAGATGGGGTGAGTAGGGGAAGATAACATGTCTCTTTGGTTTCACGGGTTCACAGATAGAGAAGAACTGTGCTCTGGGAGGTCTGCTTAACAACCTACAACCTCTATACCTGAACCTGATTTTAGTGATGACATTTTAGACTTAGAGCAAATTTTTAAATAGCTTAGTACTCTTGAGAACTTTTGGAAATTGGGGGAATGTGTTTTACATGTGGAAGTAATATGAACATGTAATAGTACATGTAAGTTACTGTACTAACAAAGTACAGACTTCGTTAGGCAGCTTAGGGGATGGCTCCCAATACTCTTTCTTCCTGGTGTTGATGGATTCATATAAATCCCACTCATGAAGTAACTTGCTTCTAACCAATAGAATACCTCAGAGTTGAGGAAATAGTGTGCTCATGATTAGATTTACAAAAGACTTGAACTTCTGCCTTGCTCTCAGACTCTCTCTATTGTCTTCTCAGGGAGGTCTATGTGGCAAGGAACTGAGGGTGACCTCCAGAAAACTACTAGCTAGAAACTGGAGTTCTCATACCGAAATTAAATCCTGCCAACAAACATGTGAGGTTGGAAGCATATCCGTTACCAGTCGAGCGTTGAGATGAGCCCCAGTCCTAGCCAACATTGACAGTAGCCTTGCGAGTGACCCTGCAGCAAAAGGTACAGATGAGTTATATCTGTACAAAATGATTTATATCTCTGGTGTTAGATAATTTTCTTCATTTATATACTTTTTTGTGAATCATACGAACTGTGGAATAATGAACGTGTGATGTTTTAAGCTGCCAATTTTTGATAATTTGTTGTGCAGCAATAGATAACAACTATTGCTTTGTATGTAAATACATGATTTAATATGTAGAACATTTCTAAAATAAACACAATAAATGGGAAAGAGTGGATATCTTTAGGGAGGCTGAGGCAGGAGAATGGCATGAACCCAGGAGGCGGAGCTTACAGTGAGCCGAGATAGCGCCACTACAGTCCGGCCTGGGCAAAAGAGTGAGACTCCGTCTCTAAAAAAAAAAAAAAAAAAAAAAAAAACGAGTGGATACCTTTAAAAAGAGAACAAAGACTTCTGAGATTAAGAGAAGTCTCACTTTTCTTTGTATATCCTTTGTAATTTCTGAAATAGTTTTCAGGTTTTTTATGTTACTAAAAATCATAATTATTTTTAAGAAAATAGGTCAGCTTTGTACTTATTTAAATATCAGTTAGGGATTTATTATATATAAAACCTACCCTATCATTTCTCTCTATCTGAGCTAAATGAAACAGCTTGAAAGCTAATATAGATAATTTTTAGTGTAAGAAATTCAAATGTGAGAGTAATCAAGAACAGTGAACACCTTGGTTCAATCGATAGTAAGTGTTTTTGGAGTCAATAAATCAAATCTGTGGTTATTTCTGTGTCTTTTCTTTGTATCAAGAAAAGACATCTTAATGTGTTAAGTTCTCAGTAAAGGTTTAAGTGGCAGGTAGCAGAGCTTTTATGTTCTTGCTACAGCTTAGTACGTATAATATGAAAAAATTATCTGCATTTTGCCTCATAAGTTTATTAACAATTTGTTTACATCATAGTACAATTTTAAAATCTGACATAAAGTTAGCTGTGTGATATTTCTTTCTTCTTACACACATAATACACAAGAGTTAGATAGTTGCTGGCTATGGTTTGAATGTGTCCTCCAAAAAAGGATGTGTTGGAAACTGAATCCCCAAAGTAATAGTCTTAGGAGGTGGGGCCTAATGAGAGGTGATTAGGTCATGAAGATGGAGTAAAGGGTTTAACACTGTTATCACACAATTAGGCTGGAAATAAAAGGGAGAGGTTGACATTTTTTTGTTGCCTCTCTCGCACTCTCTCTGCCCTTCCAATCTCCACCAAAGGATGACACAGCAAGAAGACCTGGGCAAGATGCCGGTCTCTTGATCTTGAACTTCCCAGCCTCCAGAAACATAAGCCAATACATTTCTGATCATTAAAAATTACTCCATCTCAGGTATTCTGTTGTAGCAGCACAAACAGACTAAGACATCTCCTATTATTTATTTCATTGTAAAAACATATTAATTATGTGTTATGTGCCAGGCATCAATGAGGAACAGGAGAGTTTCTACTCACAGGATACTTTTATTCTAATAAAAGAAACGTAAATAAACCTCCAAGAATGGGTCAGTGTGGCAAATATTACGATAGATATGTGCGTAGAGATGCTAATGGAGAAAACAAAGAGGCACCCTATGTGAGTCTATGAGACGAGAGACATGGGAAGCTTTGCAGAAGAAGCTGATGCAAGCTAAGGTTTTCTATCGCCTTGCATGACTAGTAAAATTTCAAATTTGACTTTCATTTTGTCTGTAATTTTATTCTGAACCCTTCTCTATGTTTTGCTTTTATTTTTTTCTTTTACCTGATAATCCTACTATTTTTCAACAACACAACAAGCTTGTTGGCATAGCTATCCGATTTTGCCAGCAGCACCTCCTGAAAAGACCGGCCATCTCATAGGAGGCTGGTGATGCTAAGCCACAAAATAGAAGAGGAGTGTTGGAGAGGGGAATAAAGGAGCTATGCCAAAGGATCTAAAAGAATGTCAGAGAGTTGGCATGGGCGGATTTACAGGAGCAGCACAGCAGGACTTACTCACAGTGGACTGGAGCAGATGGTGGAAAGAAAGAAAAAAATATATATATATATATTCACACATATATTTAAAAGCTGTGGAGAACAGCCCAATAAGATTGAGTAGGCTGACAATTAACATACCATATTATCTATTATTTTTAGTTTTCAGATTCCTTTTTATTTCACTCAGGGAGTGCTCCTATGAATACCACATATTTTGAAAAGTGGGATTTAGGGAAGAGCGGGTGAGTTTAGGAGAGATCAGAGTGACTCAGTGGAAAATGAGCACAGATGCTATGGCAGACTGCCATCCTGTCCTCCTAGGAGTGCACACAGACTGCCTAATGAAATTTTCTTGGGGGCTTGCAGTTGCTCCGGAGCTCAGCCCTGTGGACTCTACAGTAAGGCACATCAACTGCCTCCCAAACTGTCTCTGTCTCTGGGCACAAGAGCAATCACTGCTCGAGTTGAGACATCTGTGGAAATCTTCACTGGTTTCTGTGGACTTTAGCATGAACAGAATTATTTCATGATCCTTCCTTTCTATGTGAAAAAGAGATCATTCTTAAAAATGAAATTGTTTAAAGCAAGAAATGGAACACTTACTCTTAGCTAGGAGTGAAACCTTGCACAACTCAGTAGTCCAATATCTTCTTGTTAGTCCAGTGCCTTATGCAATGTAAGACATTGGGTAGTATGGGAGAAGAGGGAAGAGTCCAGTGCCTTATGCAATGTAAACATTGGGTAGTATGGAAGAAGAGGGAAGAGTCCGGTGCCTTATGCAATGTAAGACATTGGGTAGTATGGGAGAAGAGGGAACACACAGACCATTTATGGGAAAGATGTATTACTCACTCAAAACTAGTTGTCTAATGGGAACAGAAATAGTAAATACATGAAACTAATGAATGGGACTTTGGGAAGTATTTTTGAATTTCAGTCTATGTACCTTTGGTCATTCTTCTGTTTGAATTAACCTCTCCCCAGCCCCACTGGCCCTCAAAAATATGCAAATTAGCTTAATAAAATTAAAAGACCTTATGGAAATAAAAAACCATTTAAATTATTTAATTATATGGAAGGTTGAAAGACCTTGTCACCAACACATAGTCAGGCTTTGGTTCAAATGACAGTCAAGACATGGTCATGTGGTGCAGATTGTTTTTGTTTTTGTTTGGTTTCGGGTTTTAGTTTAATATTTCTTATTTTCCTTTGCCAGGAAGAGAGTCAATTTTCTCAAATTCTTACATGGTACAGAATCAGGTAGACTAGTGGGAATTAGTGAAGCCATTCAAACTAGATTTTTTTTTCTGTGCATCCCATATATGCCCAAACTAGCTTCACAGAAAGATGCTTGACATGATATACATATGATAAAGGCAATCATTGCCTGGGTCACTAGCAAGCCAAAATGACAGTAGAGTGAAGTCCAGAGGTAAAGGTGGGGCATGGCCATAGTAACAGGTAGAATAAATACCCATGAAATTTCTTTGAATTATTCATTTGCTTCTCAAGCTGTCATGCAAATTTTACATTTTATTCCACAGCTACTAATAAGGATAACAATTTTAACTTGACATTTGCTGAATACTTCACAGGCATGGCACTTATAAACTTTGCATTTATTATTCATTTATTTATTTATTTTTATTTTTGAGACAGCTTCTGGCTATGTTGCCCAGGTTGCAGTGCAGTGACGTGATCCATGCTCACTGCAATTTCTGCCTCCCAGGCTCAAGCCATCCTCCCTTCTCAGCCTCCTTAGTAGCTGGAACTACAGGTGCACACCACCAAGCTCCACTAATTTTTGTACTTTTTGTAGAAATGGAGTTTTGCCATGTTGCCCAGGCTGGTCTCCATTCCTGAGTTCAAGCTGTCTCACCACCTCAGCCTACCAAAGTCCTGGGATTACAGGCGTCAGCCACCACACCCAGATATTTATGATTTATTTTAAACCTTTCAAAAACTCTTTGAGGTAACGTGATCAATATCTTTATATTACAGATGGGGGGAAGAAACAAGAGGCTCAAAAACTGCACAACCCTATGCCTAGTGACTAAAAGCTTTAAAATTAAAATTCAATTCCAAAGCCATACCTCTCTACATTTTAACATAGACATCATAATTTTCTTCACAAATTTTAAGTAAAATTTAGATTCCCATTAGACATAAAATGTTTACTCTTTACAACCTAGGGTTGATATATTTATATATACTTATATGTAGGTTAAATATATTTATAAATAAATAATAATACACAAGTAACCATCAGGATCTTTAATACTGAAAATTTTTTTTCTCAAATATTATATTAGCACTTTTAAATAAAAGAGTCTGACAGAAGTAACTGTTTTTACTTTTGGTCACAATAATACTCGAACAAGGATATACCTTCCTCAGAGGTTGTTATTGTTAAGACTGTTCGGGGCTAAGTATATTGATCCTATACCCCTAACATAAATGGCTATGTCCTAGGTCTTCAACACATAATTGGTACCTTAGCAGGGGAAGCAAAGGTATGATACCAAGTAACAAAATATTCAATAATTTTGGCAGAATTATTTAAAAAGCAAGATATCAGACTCATACACTACTCACTACCACTGAGAAGTTCATTAGTCCTGGAATTATGCAATCTACAGAATAAAGTACTGATTCAGGAGTTAGTGCCACAAAATTTAACACCAAGAAGAACAAACAAACAATAAATGCTTACTTGTTATTACTAAAAGCGTACATCAACAACACCCTTCAAATACTTTAAACCTAGAAGAGTTCTGGCTTCTTTGGAATATTGGAAATCTGGAAATTCTAGCCCCACAATCCCACAAAACTTGGTAGCCAAACCGCAATTTCTCTTGTAGATGATGTGTATGCTTTCCAGTTCATGATAGTCTCAATCTCCCACTTCATTCACTCACTTTATATTGTGTAACCTCTGTAAACTTTCCAGTTGAAACCAAGTTCTAGAATATGAGGTAACATGGAATAATGAAAAGGCCAATGCAAGCTTGGGAGCATTTTGCTCATTTTTTTGTTTGTATTTCTCTTACTAAGATACAGAAGTATTACACAGAATTGTTAAAAATCCAAAAGTCTGAAAGTAAAATTAATTAGATTATGCACAGAGATAAATACTGTTAGCATTTAATGTACTTCTTTTTGTTGTTGTTTTTCTGAGAAAGGGTCTCTCTCTGTCACCTAGGTTGGAGTACAGTGGCACAGTCACAGATCACTGCAGCCTTGATCTCCCAGGCTTAAGCAAACCTCCCACTTCACACCCGCCCGACTAGCTGGAACTACAGGCATGTGCCACCACGGCTGGCTAATTTTTGTATTATTTTTGTAGAGACAGCATCTCACTTTGTTACCCAGGGTGGTCTCGAACTCCGGGTCTCAAGGGATCTGCCTACTTCAGCCTCCCAAAGTGCTGGGATTACAGGCATGAGCCACCATACCCGACCTAGCATTTAAGGTGCTTCTAGCTTCTAGCTTTTTTATATAGCACCACCTTGCACCCAGGAGGCACTCAATTTTTTTTTTTTGAGACGGAGTCTTGCTCTTTCGCCCAGGCCGGACTTCGGTGGCGCTATCTCGGCTCACTGCAAGTTCTGCCTCCCTGGGTCATGCCATTCTCCTGCCTCAGCCTCCCAAGTAGCTGGGACTACAGGCCCCCGCCACCACGCCCAGCTAATTTTTTGTATTTTTAGTAGAGATGGGGTTTCACCATGTTAGCCAGGATGGCCTCGATCTCCTGACCTCGTGATCTGCCCGCCTCGGCCTCCCAAAGTGCTGGGATTACAGGCGTGAGCCACCGCGCCTGGCCAAAATTTTTAGTTCAAAGAATGTATAAATAAGCCATTGAGCATACCATAAGAGTATGATGGAGAGTGTCAGCAGAGGGAAAGCAGGTCAATGAATTAATGTAGGAGCTCCAGGTCTCCAAAGCTTGCACATGGATGCAAGGAGCCTGGAAGTTCCAGGTTACCCAGTGAGGCGACACTGAGGTGATGTGTTAGGTGGTAGCACCCCAGAATGTTTGTAGAAGGTGGGGCTGTTGTATCATAGGCTAAATCTCATTTGCAGTAAGGGAACCAGTATGATCAATCCCAAGTAGTAAAAGGGTTCTGATTACCTCTCCATGTTCAAAGGGTTAAGTGGTGGATCAAGTATCTCTGCAGTAGAGCCCCAGGAAGATCCCATGAACTCTACAGGGATCTTAGAATCTGGTCTTCTCTCAACTGCCATGAGTCCAAAGGAGTGAGATCCTTTCCCAATATATGCCGATACTCCATCAGAGAAGAAAAGGAGGGATAGAAAGACATCAAACAGCTATTCTCTATTAAAACAAAATAGTTACTTATAGAGTCTCATTAATTTAAGGAGTAAAGTAATATGTAAAAATTAGGCTAAATTTCATTTTATAAGTTTATGATTTCTCCACTACTGTTGGATATTCTGATCAGATCCATCACAGAGAGGATTTTAAAACTAAAATATACAATGAATTGTCTGTACTATTCTCCCTCATATGCATGTCTGAACAATCCATGTTAGCACACAGTCATAATCATCTCCACATTCTTGAGAACTTCCTTGAAAATATGACAGCATATATTTGGTGTTTTTTCTTCTCAATCATAAAGATTGGTTAATTGACCCTATAACATGAATGACCACTTCATATAAATTATACTCCTTTAAAAGAGGCTATTTATAAGACCCTCTCTACATTCCAGTAGGGAATCAACTCAAAAGCCCTTGAATTACAATTATAGGCCCTCAGAAAAACGAACCTTATTTGGAACCAAAGCTCTATTCTACAGACATCTGGGTCTGCTCTCTGAGGGGAAGCATTAAGCCTACTTATTATTTATATGAAAGATCTATTCCAAAAAGGAGAAAAAAAAGCAGTTTTCTAAAGTTTAAAACAAGTTCCTGACCTTTAACAACCAAAAGCAGTTTAATATATTCAAGTGTCAAACTAAAAAAATTAAACTTTACATTTTTTCACATAACAAAGTATCATGTTGCAGTTTGGGATTATTAATGTTTTATAATATGAATCGTATTTATCAAGCTTTTGGGTATTCTGATGGAAGATAGGTCAACTTAGGAAAGTAATGCTGTATGTAAGGAATAATCCAAATTGCAGATGCACCTGAGTTCTACGGCTTTATATGACACCACACCTATTTAATACGATGCAAACTCCATATTACAGCCTAGAGATACATTGTTAGAATAAAAAAAAACAGGGACACAACTTAACTTCATGAAGTGGGTATTCTAGCAAAACCAACACATTTTTTAAAAGATACAGAATTTTCTCTGGTGTTAATGGCAGATTATGTAATGTGTACCAACCTTTACGCTGAGAATGGTGAGAAATACTAGAAAATATGTTTTTTAAAATGTGTTTGAACACATAGGAATGCTGCTATTTGATGAGACCCATGAGCAATGAAGCAAGAGAAGATGGAACACAGATAGTTAAGCTTAGCATTTGGTACGTGTTTTCCAGGAGGGACATCTGCCATTTCCTGAAGAGGCAAATGAGAGGCTAAGATGCTGAGCAGTGGCGGCGGCAGGCTCCTGGGGCTGGAGAGAAAAATTGGAATCCAGATCATGCGAAAGAGGGAAATCCTAATTAAACCACCATGCCTTGTTTGGAGACCATAAAAACTTGTATTCTTTTTTTTTTTTTTTTTTCCACATTCACAACTGTAGTTCTCTTTAGAAGTAGGATTACTGGGGACTCTCATTTTAAGACATACAATTTAGTAATGTTTGATTTTTTTTCTTTTTTTATTATTATATTTCAAGTTCTAGGGTACATGTGCACAACGTGCAGGTTTGTTACATAGGTATACATGTGCCATGTTGGTTTGCTGCACCCATTAATTCATCATTTACATTACATATTTCTCCTAATGCTATCCCTCCCACCTCTCCCCCCAAGGACAGGCCCAGGGGTGCGGTGTTCCCCACCCTGTGTCCAGTGTTCTCGTTGTTCAGTTAAAAACTTGTATTCTGAAACAGAGGTCAGCGAACAGTTTCCATAAAGAGTCAGAGAGTAAGTATTTTAGCTTTTCCAGGCCATACTATCTCTGTAGCCACTATTCAGTTATACTTTTGTACCAGAAAAGCAGCCATTGATAACACTTAAATAGATGGATGTCACTGTGTTTTAATAGAACCTTCCTTCCAACAACAGCGAGCATGCAACATTTCTCCCACAAGCCCATAGTTTGCTGACCCCTATACTAAAGAAAGGGTGAACCAGAAGTATACCAGGCTTAAAAAATAACAGAGTTGGCCTCAAGTCATATTATTCTTATAATTGAATTAAGTAAGGTAAGAATGGATTTCTAGCATCCATGGATACCTTTAAAATGCAGACTTAAATCAGGTCAAGGGGAAGATAAACACATCCTAGGGCTCAAATTATCTGCAAAACTTTCACATATCTTGCAGTCAGCCCAAACAAATCAAAGTCACATGAGAAGATAAAATAATAAATAAATAAATAAATGCAATTCCACATAAATTCCAACTATTTTAAAGAACTTGAGGAACTCAATCTAAATTGTACATGAAAAGAGTCTCCTGCAGAAATATAGGGTGGAAAGACATTATCTCCTGAATGTTACTTTTAAAAGGCAGTATTTAAAAGAGTGTTGTTTTGATGCAATGTTAGACAAATAGGCCAATGGAACAGAAGAATAAATCCAGAAACGAATGCAGACATGTGGATACGTGATTTATGGCAGGAGTGACATTGCAGTGTGTGTGAAAACCTCAAGGAAATGAATTTCAGATAAATTGTAGCACTAAATATAGACAGAAAGACAAGCAATCTCCTCTACAATAACAGGAGAATATAATGATCTTGGGGAGACAAATACCTTGTAAAAGATATGGAAAATACTATCCATAGAGGGAGTAATTGGAAAATTAAACCGCTGGGTTGAATCATATGAAACTGCCATCATTTGACCATTTTTGAAAAAGAATATGCTGGTTCCCTTACTGCACCAGATGCAATTTTATATTAGTAAGTGTTGTGCATTACAATTAACAACTTATGTTTGTTTAAAAAACATTAATATAACGAAAAGGCAAGCCACAGCTTAAATAAAACTGAGAAATATCTCATATTCAACATAAAGTTACAAAATCAGTAAGAAAATATTATACATCCCAATAAAAAAATTGGACAAGAGACTTGTACAAGCACTTCAAAAAACACATCTACCTGGCCAAATTTTATAATATAAAATAAAATATAAATATAATGTAAAATTATATATATTTATAATATAAAATATAATATAAAATAAAATATAATCAAATTAATTAGTCATCAGAGAAAGAAAAATAAAAAATGCAATGAGATATGACTCTATACCCAGAAAAATACTAAAATGTAACATATTGGCAAGGTTCTGGGACAATGGAAATTTCCATATGTATGTTTCCATATATTTCTATATATTGTAAATGTAAGTCATTATGATCACACTCAAAAATAATTTATCATCATGATTTATCAAATTTGAATAGACATATACTTATGACAAAGCAAATCCACTCTTACTTTTACCAAAATAAGTATGTCAAAATATTGACTACGACATGAGTATAAGAACGTCATAGCAGCAAAATTGGTAATCAACAAAAACTGAAAACATTCAAAAATAAAAGACTGGATAAATAAATTTTTTACTGCAGTGAGAAAGAACCACTCACACAACTGCATAGATGAATTTTACAAATACTATTTTAAGTGGAAAAATAAAAAATAAAACACACACACACACAAAAATACCATGAAACAAAATGGTATGATCGAAAAAGTTTAAAACACTCATTCCTAAATTATGGTATGAAAAGAAAAGAAACAAAAGTAACTTTAAAAATCAATGGAAAGGATAACTGTAGAGAAAGGCATGTAGGGTGGACGTTTCTGCTATGTGCGTAATGTTCTCTTTTTTAATGATTATGGCTCCATGAGTGTTTGCTTTTGATAATCTTTTGGGCTTTACATTTATGTTTTGTGTCCTTTTTGTATGTGTGCTAGAGTGCAATAAAAGTTTAAAGTTTTATTATATACATGATTAAATGATTTAGTAACTGCAACTGTTATTCTATGTGGTTCTATGAAGTTCTATGACAAGTACAAAAAAGGGTTAGAGGGAAATTTTCTTAGTCTGAAGGTCAGAGAAGGTTTATCCTGTTAATCTTTAAAGATTAACAGCAGTGATCGCAGCCATTTGAGAAGTTGAGTAGAATTAGAGGGCAGGAGGATGAATTGGACTTGTGATAAAAAGAACCACGGCAAGCCTATCATAGTTAAGGCAAAGGAGCTGAGGCAGAGTCAATGAATGAAAGCAGCTTGCCACCTAGTTTTGGGTAGGGTCAGGGGCAGGATCATGCAAAGTATTGTAGACCATGGAAAAGTTATTTTTAAAACTCATATTCTGAATTTGAAATCAATGAAAGATTTACACAGGAAGGCATAAGATTTGCATTTTTTAAAGATGATTGGCTGCTGTGTGTGGATCAATTACAGTAAGGTAATAGCATAGCTGCAAAGACTATTACAGCCTCTCTTGGCCAACCAAGTGAGAGTGATCCTCACTTTTGCTGCTGTGATGGCTGTGAGCTTGGTGAATATTAACATCCTTAAAGTTAAGATATCTGTTGAAAGTTAAGGGGCATCCTAGTTGAGTTGGCAGTTTTTAATTTTGATCTCTTCTCATGGTACTGACAATGATTGTGTTTCTTTCAAATGATGACATCTAGACTCAATGAAGATGACATTCCAGAGGCTGTTTGGTAGTACTTCATATTAGAGTGGATCTAAAAGGTAAGGATCAGTCAGTTATCACAGACTCATCCCAGACTTCGGTGACTAGATCATCAGGGTGGCATCTACTAAGGTGGGAAAGTTGAAAAGAAGAGACTAAGCTGGAAGTTAGTTGGGAATCGCAAGGTTAGTTTGGGACACATGCTTGAAATGGCAGTGCCTCTCAAGGCAATGATCCTGTAGAATCTATTGATATCCGACATACCTCAATAGAATGATCCAGCTTACTATTAGAAAAAATAAAATCTTTGTGTGATATTGGAGGTCGATTTGAGGCAATGATCTATTTAGGTATTTGATGTTTTGTTCAGGAACCATTGTTAATGTGAATATTTAAATATATATATATATTTATAAGTCAATATTTCAGTACACATTACCATAGTAATGGTCATTTTTATATTGTCTAAGAGTGTCCTAATTTCCTTCACAGATCAACTTTTTACACAATTTGTCAATTAAGAGTCCCCAATTATTTAATTTCTCTTTTTAATCATTCAGTAAATTTGTATCGTTTTCCTTATAGTGTCCTACTCCCATTCTACACGGTCACCCCATGTGCTCTAAAGTTTCATTGACAAGAATTGAAACTCTATTATTTTGTCTTTGCCATATGGCAGAGAATTTATTTTATTATTCATAATTTTCTAAAGTATAGTACTCTAAATGATAGACTTAATCCTGTTTCAAACTTTCTGATCAAATGTACAGTCAAGTTTTGTCAACAACACAATAGGTTGATAATTCCAAATTTGTAATTGATATGGTTTGGCTGTGTCCCCACCCAAATCTCATCTCGAATTATAATATCCATGTGTTGAGGGAGAGACCTGTAATCCCATATGTTGAAAGAAGGAGGTGATTGGATCATGGGGGCAGTTTTCCCCATGCTGTTCTGGTGATAGTGAGTTAGTTCTCACAAGATATCAGGGGTTCATAAATGTCTGGCATTTCCCCTGCTTACTCCTCTCTCTCCCATTGCCTTGTGAAAAAGGTGCTTGCTTCCCCTTCCACCATGATTGTAAGTTTACTGAGGCCTCCCCAACCATGTGGAACTGAGTCAATTAAGCCTCTTTCCTTTATAAATTACCCTGGCTCAGGTATATCTTTATAGCAATGTGAGAATGGACTAATACAGTAACATATACACAGTACATACACAATAATTTCTTACATTTTTATATTGTCTAACATTGTCCTAATTTTCTTCACACATCAACTTTTTACATAATTTGTCAATTAAGATTCTGCAATTATTTAATTTCTCTTTTTAATCATTCAGTAAATTTGTATAGTTTTCTTTATAGTGTCCTACACATTTCTTATTAATTATTTTTCTATGAAATTTAAAGCAAGCTTGTCCAACCCACAGCCACATGTGTCCCAGGATGGTTTTGAATGAGGCCCAACACAAATTCATAAACTTTCTTAAAACATTATGAGATTATTTGAGTTTTTTTTTTTCAATCTTATCAACTATCATTAGTGTTAGTGCTATTTTATGTGTGGCCCAAGACAATTCTTCTTCTTCCAGTGTGGCCCAGTGAAGCTGAAACATAGGATGCCCCTGATTTAAAGTTTTTCTTGTTATCATCAAGTTTATTTTCATTTTTGTATTTAACTCATTATATTTATATTAATGTAGTTTATTGGATATGAATTAAATAACAAATTGCTGAAATTCAGTAATAAGATTTCGATAGCCTTATACAAAGGATGTAAACGAGTCTACATGATTTTCTTTATTATAGGATGGTTCACAAAACCTGTTTCTGTTCTTTGAAATTGTGATAAATTTACTGTAAAATGCCTGCTTTGGATTTGGGGGTTACTTATAAAAGGTGATTCCTTAAAAACTTCCTGAATTTGTTTCTCATTCTGAGGAGATTTGTAATAACTTCTTAAATAAGGTTCAATGATATATGTCTTTCTCTAAACCAGTAGTTCCCATAGTCTACAGTCTGTACTTGAGCTGGAGCCATAATAATCACCTGGAAAACTGGTAAAAAGTACAAGTTATCAGAAGATTCTGACTTGTACATTTTGGGTGAATACCAGTGGGCACTACGCGTTTAATAAATTTACATCCTGATACTGATAATACACATAGGCAGCCAGGTTTGGTAATCATTGTCTGAATCATTAACCATTTCACTTGTACTATACACATATTAGAATAGCTTTTTCTTAGAATTGTACTAACTGTACATGCCACTCTGTAGCTGGTGTTTTACCAGTGAGCCCCTGCAGTTCCATTTAATTCTCTGGTGTTAGATAATTTTCTTCAATATATACTTTTTTGTGAGTTTGGATATGCATTTAAATGTTGGTTATTATATTTTATCCAGAATTTCATGATCTTTTAGAGTGGGAATGTTTTCATGTTATCTGTTCTGTAAACATAATTACTATGTTATACCCAGGATTTTGTGGAGTTGCACAGAGGAGTCGTTTAGTATATTATTAGTTGGTTAATGATTGCAGTTTACATTGCTGCCTAGTAAAACATTTCTTTTCATTACAACTAGTTTTTTTATGTCTAGTATTTTATGTCTAGGGTTCCATATTATATGGACTAATAACATGGGGAAGATTCAGCCTTTCTTCAAACTCATTTTCATTCCTTTTACTATATAGGGTTTTATCAAAAGAAGGAACATATTTTCAGGACTTTTATTGGCAAAAGGTGACATAGAAATTGTAAATAATCCCTTAGATAAAAAGTAAAAAGCATGTGTTATCAACTCATCTGCCAATAGTAGATTCTGACCAACAGTTAGTTGATTGGTTGCCTGATCTCATCAGAAAAAAAGAAGCCTCATGAAATGTATCTTTGATCAGGTGTTTGGAAAGAAAAAAAAAGAGCATTTATCTATTGCCTCCTGTCCCCTTGTTCAAAAATTGCCTCGTGTGTTTTTTAAACACCCCCACCCCAACAACACACACACAAATTGTCCATATGATTACAGTGTGAGTGGGTTCCTCACATCCCTGTTCGCATATCCAAAACATGAGACAAGAGAGGTGCCTAGCATAAGAGATTTTAAAACAGCAGAAATGAAATGCTATACTGCAATGCTGTATATTTTCTTGGTATGGGACTGTAGAACAGACAACTATATTAATTTTCTCTTTGTAGCCTGCATTCATATTTTGTATTAGCAGCGCTGTCATTTTTGGATGCATATATTACATCGTTTTTAGACCTTTCTCATAATTTATAAGTAAACAGTTCCTGCCATCCTCCTAAAAAAAAGACCTCATTTGATTCTTGAGTCAGTGACCAGAATTGTAAGGCATAGCTACTGTAACAGAAATTAAACTATATATCTTTACACGTGAGTCAATCTTATCTATACATTTATGTATTTGAGAAAGCATTAAATAGCATATATAGAGAATATATAAGAACGTGTTTGTATATATTTGAAAAATGTGTTGTGTGGAATGATTCAAAAGAAGCTGCTGGGCTGGGCCTGGTGGTTCAGGCCTGTAATCCCAGCACTTTGGGAGGCCGAGACAGGCGAATTACGAGGGCAAGAGATTGAGACCATCCTGGCCAACAGGGTGAAACCCCATCTCTACTAAAAATACAAAAAAAATAGCCGGGTGTGGTGGCAGGTGCCTATAGTCCCAGCTACTCAGGAGACTGAGGCAGGAGAATCACTTCAACCTGGGAGGCGAAGGTTGCAGTGAACCAAGATCGCGCCACTGCACTACAGCCTGGGCGACAGAGCGAGACTCCATCTCAAAAAACAAACAAACAAACAAACAAAAAATTGCTAATATGGATAGTTACCTTAAGACAGGCATATTGGTGAATTGTGGGGTAAGATTTGTATGTACATGTAAATCTTATATTTTATATGTTACATATGATTTTGACTTATTGAAACAGGTTGCATTAGCTTCTAATTGCAAATAAATAATATTAAAAATGTTTATAGGGAAAAGAAGAAGTGGAAATTAACCAGAATTCTAAATATATTGCACCATTTTGGTTTTTTATACTTTTGTTTTGTTTGAGATGAGACCATGTTCCCAGATTCTGAGGAGCTCTTATGAAAAACAAGCTTCTAAGGCTTTGAGTGCGTTGCCTGGTGGTCTTCTTAGCATTAGTAGTATACATGCCTCTTTTAAAAATGAATGCAGAGGCCGGGTGCAGTGGCCCACACCTGTAATCCCAGCGCTTTGGGAGGCCGAGGCAGGTGGATCACCTGAGGTCAGGAATTCAAGACCAGCCTGGCCAACATGGCAAAACCCCATCTCTACTAAAACTACAGAAAAAATTAGCTGGACATGGTGGCGGGCACCTGTATTCCCAGCAACTTGAGAGGCTGAGGCAGGAGCATCTCTTGAACCCGGGAGGTGGAGGTTGCAGTGAGCCGAGATCACTCCATTGTACTCCAGCCTGGGCGACAAGAGCAAAACTCCATCTAAAAAAAAAAGGAGAAAATAGATATCTTTTCACATTGAAAATAAATATAATCTTTTCATCATTTTTACACATATGCTTTCTATTTACAATGTGTCCTTTTCAAAGTAAAAATTACAAACTTTATCCTGCATTAATCAGTATTAACTGAGGTAATAGTATAGGTCAGATGCTCCCACGATGCATTTTGAGGAGATATGAGAAAATAAAACAGGCAGCATGCCTTAAAGGAGAACTAGGAAGATTCCTGATCCATCTGCAATCACTGCAAAAAAAAAAATGCTGTGATGGGAAATAATGTCTACCCTTTGTGAATATTTGAAAAAACTTTTTAATTGTCTTAAAATGAACGTGTTATATACATGCACATATAACACACACATAACCCTAAATATATACACACATATAACATATATATACACAAATATCTAAACATTTATATACATGTGAGTGCATATAGAGATATATAATGGTATAGAAATAGGTATATAAAGTGATCTCGCCTAAAAGCCATAGTTGTATTTTTTCTACCAGGATCCCTGCCATTCTTTATTCGGAATTTGATTTTAACTAGAAGAGTTTATTTTTATTTTGGAAGTCAACAAAGAAACTCTAGAATAGTAGGCATTAGAAAGCCAACTTCAGGAAAACCGATCCAAACTGCCTGACATGTGGGAGTTTTCCTTATTAATCCTGTCATCCTCAGGTTCTTCTAAGACCTTGCTCTACCTCCTTTAACCAATAGTTTTAAGTTAGAAAGTCTGATTTTACCAAGTCAGTCGAACTACATCAAATTAATTTACTTCAGTTGCTGGTATATTTAGTGGTCTATGTTAGGATGACTAAGTGTTACATATGGTCATGTAAATACTCTGATTTAGAATACAACATCATAGAAAAGCATTTCAGAAAACAAAATTCAAAACATTACATAAATAACGCACTTTCCTTAAAGAGTAGACTGTGACTTCATCTTAGAAGTTAGCAAAGTACTCCCTGAGATAGCCACAGCTGTCATGCAGTTGATGACTTGAAACTCTTCAAGGTTTCTAGCTTTTGTGTGTGTGTATCCTCATGACAGTTTTAATATAATTATCTTTAGCTCTCTTGACTGTTGGATTGATTCCCGTGTCAGCTGACCCCCGCACCTTTCAAGAACACAAGCTTCAGAAAGTTCTGCAAATTGCATTTAGGTCAAAGTCTGGGATTTAACTGTGGAAAGTATTTGCATTCCGTTTGAGCTAGAGCTTATGGGAAAGTTATACTGAAGAGTTTATCAGAGCAGTAACCCATGTTTGAGCTTTATAAGTTCCAGGTTTTAGCTTCTGGTCATGACAAACTTTTCCCCACAAGGTTTATATTTAAAGTGACGAATTTTAAATGAATTAAAGCAAAACATTATATAAAGACCAATGCGATTTTTAAATTTGACTAGTGATAACTGTTCTATTCCACAGTTATTATCTTTATTTTTTACTAGGTCAAAATTCTTAGATGCAACAGGTTTATTTCAATTAGTCAAAGCACGGGGTTAATGAAGCCAGGTTAAAGTTCTTATAAGGTCCAGTTACTTTTCCATTTTTCTGTATTCTCCAATCTACCTACAGAAAAGAGAATTTTTAGTTTTCAGAAACAGAGTGTTTTGTATTTGCTTAAATATATTCTCTTCCCACTTTTAAGAAGCATAATTTCCCATAACTTATGAAAGCTAAAAGCATCACCTTTATTGAGAAGCAGAAAACTGTTGTAGAAAGAGTCGTTATTTTAGAGTCTAAAGACATTTGTTTGAGCATTAATCTCATCTTTAAACTAGCTGAATTAACTAGGGTAAACAGAAATGTGAGCCTAACCTTTAGTCATTGGAAAAATGGGGATGATAAAATTATGAAGGTCATAGTAGCTTTTTCAAGATTAAATCAAATGACATAATGTATGTAAGATTAATTTTGTTTGTACTTCTTCATAAAAAACTTTATAAGTTTACCTTTATTAAAGCATAAGAGTACTTTATAAGATGATTTCATATGACACAATTTTTATCTGAGGCATAGTGTCAATGTAGCCACCCAGAGATGGGTGGATTCTGCCATTCTGGTAAAATGTTCTGTGTAGGTGAATGAATTATCCTAGATATAATTATAATAAGTTATTCTTTTCTATGAGCTAAATATAGATTCTGCAGGTTAATTGAAATTTTGATAGATTCATGGGAGAAAAGGATAATGTGGTTTTTAAAGCTGTGATTCACTTATATATCTGTATTTGGTTGGGTATTGTTGCATTATCAGCACACATTATAATGAAAGATCATCATTTTCCATTTTTTAAGAATACTTCATTGATTTTGTCTAATAGTTATAGCACATGTATTTATTCAGGTGATTGTTATCCCCCAAACAACTGAGAAAGCACTTACGAAAATATTTAAAGTGCAATTAAGGAGAGAAATACAAATCAAAGTTTTCTCTATGGAAAAAATCTACATAGGCAGGTACAATGGCTCATGCCTGTAATCCCAGCACATTGGGAGGTTGAGGCAGGTGGATCACGTGAGCTCAGGAGTTGGGAGACCAGCCTGGACGTCCATAATGAAACCTCATCTCTACAAAAAAATACAAAAATTAGCTGGCGTGGTGGCACACACCTGTAGTCCCACTACTCGGGAGGCTGGGAGGATTGCTTGAGTCCGGGAGGTCAAGGCTGCAGGGAACAGTGTTTGTGATTTTTTTAGACAGGGTCTCATTTTGTTGCCCAGGTTGGAGTTGGATACCAGCCTGGGCAACAAAATGAGACCCTTCTCAAAAAAACACAAACACTGTATCCCAGCCTGGGCAACAAAGTGAGACCATGTCTCAGAAAAAAAAAAAAAAAAAAAAAAGGAAAAAGAAAAATTACGTGGAAGTCTTGTGGTTCCTATTTTGCAATACTTTTTTTTTAAAAAAAAAACTGGTCTTGATGAAGTATGAGAGGATTTTAAAATATAAAAATAGGAAGAAAATTACATAAAGTAAATAAAGAGCAGAATCAATAGTACCCAAACTTAGATAAGTGATGTGGAGAATGGCATTGAGAAAATCACATACCTAAGAGAAGAAAGTGAGAAAGGGGTTGAAGACATTGTACAGAAGATATTAGAGCGGGATGACAGGCAATGAAAAGCGAACTATAGCAGAAGAGGGAAGATCAAATGTCAGAGTAACTATAGGGAAAGCAACACTGGAAATATGAATCTTTCTACTAAACTGTAAGATCAAAGTAGCTCATTATATTAAATTAATTATTGATGTGTAGCACCCAGATTACAATTTAGCAATTATTAAGTATCTGATTTCAATAACTAGTAGAATTATTGAGGCAAAAGAAATCTGTTATAAGCTGAGGTTAAAAATAAATGTAACATTTATTTTTAAATAATTGTCAGACAAAAGTAGATACCAGTAGACCTATCCTAAATCAAATAAGTACTATCAGGATAGACTATAATATTAGTACATATGTAAAAATTTCTCCTAGTGGAGAAGTAAGGTATTTGCCAGAAAGATGAGAATACTGAGGGTGGTGACTCAATTATCCTCAAAATAAATTTAGAAATGTAAGATAATCCCAATTAAAACCTCAATCTAATTTTGATAGATGTTAAAATATAGCTTAAATTTATGTAAAAGAATAATGATGAAAGAAAACTTGAGAAATTTATGAAATTTTAGCTTATGTAAAGAAGATAAACCCTATCAAATGTTGAAAATATAAAGCTAATTAATCAAAAGCCTGTGTTCTTGGCATCAGAACAGGCCAATAAATCAGTGACTCAGAAAGTCAAGAAGTAGATACAAGTATAGATACATTTTCAATATACATCTTTTTAAATAAAAAGGAACTGATAATTTTGTCAATACATTTAATAACGTTTAGTTAGGCTATTTTGGAAAAAAATACGTCAAGAACTATACCAAAATAATATTCAGATAAATTGATGATTTATATGTAAAATATGAGGCTATAAAGGTAGAATATATAAGCAAATTTAAAATATTATACTAAAAAGGTCTTTTTGAGGATGATTAAAAGGCTAGAAATAACAAAAATTTTTAATAGACTTAAATAAATAAATAAATACAATTTATGAAGTGTAAAACCCCATAGGTAAAACTGAAAGGCAAATTAGCTCCTAGTAAAAATTATTTGTGATATATGACATAGATAAAAGCTGATAACCTCTCTTTAAGGAAAGAACAAGTGCCCCAGTAGAAAAATAGGCCATTGGGTAGATGTATCACAAAAGAAGAAATACAATGGGCCCAAAACATAAAATATATTCCATAGATATGCATTCAAATGAATATAATTTTAAAAATGAGATACCATTTTGGGCTTTTGTATTAGCATAAATCAGAAATAATCTTAATGCTTAAAATTAGAGCAAGAGAATACATACGTGAGCAAAGTGTTGTTTATTAATAAAATTGTCTTAGGGTACTGACATTTCATGTTTCTTTTTCCTTTTTGCTTTATTGTCTCTTAGTTCCTAATATTTTGGGTCAGTTAATGAAAATAACACCTTAATTCAAATTTCCTATGGGAGAGAATTGTAAAATGTTGAATATTAACCAATGTGTTTTCCAAGCTGGACCCCAAAAGAATATTTGACTTTTGTGATGTTATTTCCTTCCTTTTCCTACAATTGACTGAATTGATTATATTCTTTATAGCCTTTAATCACAACTTGTTTATCTAATTTCAGTTTGGTCCCTACTAAGAAAATATTACATTCGCACCCAGAAATACTTTAAAATCTTTGGAAACAACATAATTAATAGTGAATATTGTCCCTTCCTCCTATTATAGATCAGGCATAGAATGGTGAGAAGTGATGGTAAACATTTCAGATGAAAATCTCAAATTAAGTCTCATATTTAATTACCAGAATCACCTGCCAATAAGCTGTTAATATAGACTGGATGATTCTATAGGGCTCACAATAATGTGGGAAGTAGCAGAGTTGCACTTCTAGCTTATAACGTGAAAGTGGGACAGCCATGTCTAGTACATCAAGGGGTGTATTTACCTGCTGTAATATAGTAAAGTTATATGCAACGTTTGGACAAAAGGTAAGAAAAAGATTTTAGCAGTTCCTGCTGGAATATTTCGCTTATACTATTTCCTTCAAATTAAGCACACATCATATACCTGTCTTCAATTTCCTTAGAACTGAAGAGTGTGACTATTCTGAGATTGTTTATCCTGTTTTCTAAATTCAAATACCGCCAAACATTGTTAAGTTACAACTTATGAAAAACATGTATCGATGAAAAGTCAGATTGATTGCTTCCTTCAGAGACATTCTTTGATGTTTTATTTCCTTAGTAAAATTTATCTCAAAAAGAGATTTGCATGCACAATTCCATGTCTTCTCCCTAATTTCCACAAATTCTTCAGAAGAACCAGAATCAGCTTTCAGTGATTTGTTGCCTCCTATTAAGCCATAGAGTGTTCCAATTTCTGTCTCTTCCTGTGTTTTGGTGCCAGCTCTTTTCCTTTGACCATTTCAGTCTTAAAGTTTCACTACTCAAAAGCCAAGCCAGTCAATATAAAGTGAGCCTCAGTGACAAATAGTTTGCTCTCAATTAATCTTGCTAGACACTTATTAAAATGTAATACTGTAATAAATTATAATAAATTATAATATTTATTAAATATAAATGTTGTTGAAATTAATTATTTCTGGATATAATATATTGAAGTTCTTGATGTTTACATTAAAATTCTACAAATCTACCCAAGTATTTAAATGGAGATATTAAGAAAAATGACAGCTTAAAGTTAAATGTCTATCCCTCTAAAAAAAAAAAAAGAGAAGAAAAGAAAAGAAAACCTATCAAGATAATCTATTGGTTCTATCACCAAATCTTCCAAGCTTTAAGAGGAATTTGGGCTGTGGTGAGGACTTTTATTCCAAATTCTAATGTTACAGGTTGTTCAGTAAGAAAAATTGCCTTCTGAAGATGTCTACACCCTCCTCTCTGGAACCTGTCAATTGTTTTAGTACAATGAAAAAGATAATTTGCAGATGTAATTAACTTTATGGACCTGAAAATAGGGAGATTATCCTGGATTATCCAGATGGACCCAATCTCATCACATGACCTCTTAAAAGCAAAAACCTTCTCCAGCTGTAGGCAAGAAAGATATGATGTGTTTCAAGGTGTGAGAGGAGCTTGACCTCCCTGGCCAGACTGGATCTTATGGAAAGCATGAGAAAGAATCTGAGCAGCCCCAGAAGCAAAGCCCAGCCCCTGGCCAGCCACCAGCAAGGAAGCCTGCCTTAGTCCTTCAACTGCCAGGAGCTGAATACAGCCAACAACCTGAACAAGCTTGGAAAGAATTCTTCCCTAGAGCGTTCAGTAAGGAATGCAGTCCCTACAGCACCTTGATTTGGGCCTTCAATCACCCTGAGCAAGGACTCTGTCAGGTCCATCAGACTCCTGACCTATAAACCTGTGAGACAATACATGTATCTTGTGTTAATCCACTAAATTCATGGTAATTTTTTATCGCAGCAATAGAAAAGTAATGCAAGCTATCACAGGGAAGTCCATCCCGGCCAACAGGATTTTAAGTTTTCCATTTAGCTCTATTTACTTTGTCCTATTCTGTTTTTACTGCAGTATCAAAAACACCAGCCATTGACAGTATACATATTGCTTTCTTAAGTGTCTTATTTGTAATTAAAGCCCATTACAATGTATTAATAAAGTGTATTTTAATTTTTAGAAGCGTGTTTTCATTTCACACAAAAGTCACATAATTTCTTGCCTTTCATCAAAATGTAAAGCTTTAATGGGTACAGTGTACGTAATTCTGGTGATGGCTGCACTAAAGGCCCAGCCTTAACCACTACACAACATACTCATGTAACAAAACTGCACTTGTAACCTCTACATTTATACAAAACAAAAAGCAAAAACAAAAGAATATACAAAGCTTGACAAATGTTTACCTTGAAAATTTTATTGTACATATCACTTATGAATATGGTAATTGTCTATCCCTATTGAAAAAAGAGAGTATGTGCAATAAAGGTAAGATTTAAATGGTTGTAGAACACTTAATGCAATTCAGGAGCTTTTATTTTGAAAATAATGACTACTTAATTAGCATAGAGAATATGTGATAGGTAAACCAGATATTCCTATGGATCAAAAACAAGAGCATAATCTTTCAGACTTGTTTTCATTCAGGATGTGTTTCTGTTTCTATGGTTAGTCTTAGAAATATAATTTAAGTTAAATACATATACACAACCACAAAAATAACATTGACTAAAATGCTACAGGATGTAACACATTAATCTAGCCACTGGAAATGATTTATTGAGTATTTACTATATGTTCAATACTATGCTTTGTACCATCAAAGATATAAAAAGAATATGAGACCGATTTCCAGAGGCAGAACCATGGTTGAGGCAACAAATTCCTATTCAGAAAGACAAAGATATAAATGATTTATTTATGCATTGAGCGATTAAGAACTTATTCATTTATTCAACAAACATTTATCACATGCATACTCTATGTCAAGCACTGCATAAAAACAAGGTTTACCACATAGGATAAGACCTAGTTCTGCGCTTTCAAAAAGCTAATCATGCAGTGAGATACAAAAGACAGGACTACCTTAGAGAGAGAAGAACCAACAGACATACATGCAGCAATAAATGAGAATAATATACTTTTCCAGCTGGAGTACAGGGGGCATGAGGAACTGGTGCTCAGAAGAGTTGTCTATGGGAGAAACCGCTAGAAAGAGTCCTGAAAGATGATCAGGACTGCCCTACTTGAGAGACTAGGGCCGTCAAATGGGAAAGAGTCATTGTGCGGAAGAAACCAGAGTTAAAAGGAAAATGATACATTTGTGGTGACCTGGACATCTGTGAGGGTGGATGGAAGAGATGAACAAAGGCTCAATCATGAAACGCCCCCGAGACATTCTAAACAAGGGTTGACTTTATTATGAAGGTGATAGGAAGCAATTGAAGATTGTAGCAGGGAAGTCACATGACCAGATTTGCATCTTATAAAGTTCACTCTGGTGGCAAAGGAAAACATTTTGAGAGCATCAAGGTTTTTCCTGAGGAGATCAGATAAGAAGCTGGGTAGATATTGAATAGCAGCAGTGGTATGTAAATTATTGTGAAACAGGCGCAAGTGATATGATCTTCCAAACTCTAATAACGATGGAAAAAAGATTGCTCTCTGATATTTAAATTATTAAAGTAACATGTAGCAGAATAATTTGGTCAGTGGTAAACCCACTAGCCTAAATAAGAACTTGAGTGTGACAAATATTGGTTTCTGAGTCTGACAATGGGAGGTAACATTGGACAATTATTCTTACTAGCACATTAAGCTTTGTAATGAAGATGAATACACCAAGCTTATACCACCCATGACCTGTGGGCCTCATACGGCCCCAGATGACTTTGAATGTGGCCCGATACAAATTCATAAACTTCCTTAAAATATTATGAGATTTTTATGTGATTTTATTTTTGTTTAGCTCATCAACTATTGTTAGTGAATTTTATGTGTGACCCAAAACAATTCTTCCAATGTTGCCCAGAGAAGCCAAAAGATTGGATACCCTTGAAGTATACTATTATGAATAGTGCCGTGAATGCACTTAAAAGGAAAAACTTAAATAACAAAAGAAGATATGCAAAGTGTCCAAGGGAAACAGGGCATTCTAGTTCCCATGATAGATATTTTCTAAGTGTAAATTTATTAGTAGTCCATGTCACTATTTAGATCCCCTTTCTGCCTAATTAGTTCAGATTCTCATGGCCTGCTCACCCTAGGCAGTGACAAGCTAGTGTCTTTGGGCTTGGAAATGAAGACTAGGGTCTTCAATATAGTAAAGAATTTGAGATACTACCAGTACATCTTTTTCTTCATGAAATTTTACTTCTTTCTTCAAATGTACAAAGGCACTGGTCTTTGTGGATGGGCAAAGTCCAACGCGGGATAGACATTGGAGTTCAAGCATCATAGATATTTACTCTAGAAGAATCTTGGGAAGAAGATTGACATAATTAAAGTAATGTTGTAGGACTGAGCAAAAGAATGAGTAGATTGTTCTTACTGGACATGGGTAACAGCAGCAGAAATGATTTAAAGAAAGAAATAGCAAAATTCTTAAACTAATCCCACTTCCTGTTTAGGTTCCATTTTCCCATATTTTGCTCCCTCTACTCTATTGGGAGGAGGAAGAAATTAACATGTATTGGAAATGGAGGAAATTAACATGTATTGAGTGATCTGTGTGTTAATATCTGCTCTAAGTTTGCACTTAAGTTTTGTTTAGTCGATCTAACAGCTTAGAAGAAGAATGGCACTACCAATTTTACAGAACAAAAATGAAGTCTCAGTGGATTTCAATTGCTTAGGATCGTCAAACCAGTTAAAGGGCAGAACTTGCATCCAGTCCAGGCAAATCCA
Organism: Homo sapiens; assembly: GCF_000001405.40. Lineage (NCBI taxonomy): Eukaryota > Metazoa > Chordata > Mammalia > Primates > Hominidae > Homo > Homo sapiens. The sequence continues at coordinate 239,014,793 of NC_000001.11, forward strand.
ATTCCCATGTCCATGTTCTGACTCATACATCACACTCCCTCTTCTCAGCTTCTCTGTCTCCTACAAAATCTAATTGGAATTGCCACAGCCTCTCTCTTTCATCTCTTCCAAACTTTCTACAGTCCTAAAGTCTACCCAAAGTTCAACTTCCTTGAGGAATTACTGCTGATGATTCCAGCTCACAAGTAATTTTCCATTCTCAGAATTCATGTATAATATTTCTCAAACTGTTTCCTGAGAACACTGGTTTCCCAAAAATTAGGTTCTGTATTGAAATTAATTATAAATCCTGCATATTAAATCTATTTTAGGAACTACCCAGTATGTTTTAATCTATTTTAATCTTGAATGAGTATTCTCCAGGCACTCCTATAATTATATAACATCAGCCCAACCCAGCTGCTCGCATATTATTTTTTTCCTCTGGTAAGTTATATTATGAAATAAATTATAATATTTAATGTCATTATCAAGTAGACAAATTACATACTGTGCATATGTAAATTGTGTGTTTATGTGTATAAGCATATAGGAACTTTAAATATTTCAAAATTAAATAACAGATATTTTAGACTATTATTTACTGTCTAAATCCATTAAAAAAAATTCTAGAGATTTAGAGGGTAAGCCTGGTTTGACAAGAAGAAATATATCAATCTCTGCAGGTTTGCACCTCTTTAAATATTTGTCACATTAAAGCTGAATAAACAGGTTTTTCTTCTGATTAAGATAAGAACAGTCTAAAACACTATCACTCTTACAGTAACATCAATAAAAATTCACATAAAATAAAAAAATCTTAAGAATGGGACTATCAAAGAGCAGTGGACGAAGAAAAAAAAAAGGCTTGGTGAATCGATTTCCAAAGAGAAGAAACCGTCACAGGTTAGCAGCAAGTTGTGGCAACTTCGGAGGGTAAACATGAGGTCACTAAAAGACAAGGTTTGCTAAAGGCAAAGAACGACTAACAGAGTCACTGGCAATGGTAAAAGCAGGCAGGAATGGACTAGAGTCTGAAAGATTCCAAAATCTAACAATGTTTTACTTAGTATTGCAATTATTCTCCTCTCTTCAACCTCTGAATTTTGTTCAAAAAAAAGAGCAAATAACTTGAGAATGTAAAGCAAAAAGGACTCACATAGTTCAATGTTCTTAAAGCTGCAGCCAAGATCCCCAATAAACTCAAAATTCAGTAGAAATCTGAAAGATCACCAGTTTACTTTATCTGTTTATAAGGAATAAGCTCACATACTTTGCAAAATGTAAAAGCAAAGTGGTAGTCTACTTCAATCTCCACTATTTTTCTATTAATATACACAAAATACTACATACAATCAAATCTAATTAGACAAACAAAGAATACAAATATGTTGAGAAAAGAAAAAATGCAAAAGAAAAATCACAAAACCTAATCTATAAAGATCCCAGGTATTGAAATTAGCAGGCATGGATTTAAAATAACTGTATAACTATTTTAAATATACTCAAGAATTTATAAGGAAAGATGGTTACTTGGTTTTTTTTTCAAATATGACTCTAGTAATATCTCACATCATGCTTTTCTACGATATGACTTTGACCTTCTTCCCATCCAGAAATAGGAACTATGCCCTCTCAGCTTGCATCCTGGCCAACTTATTCCTCACTTTGACTAGAATGTGGTGGCAGTGATGCTGCCTGACTTTTGAAGCTAAGACAGAAATGGCATGCAGCTCTGCCATGTTGGCTGGGGCAATCACCTTTGAAAGTTTCAACCACAAAATAAAGTTTCATTATGCTGAGACTCATATCATGTGAGAAATCTAAACCAAATGGAAAGGCGACATATAGGTGCTTCATCAGCCTTTGAGTTATCCCAGCTTAGGTGCAATAAGTGGTCCTCAACTGAATCCAGCCTTTAGCCAAAAAGTCACCTCAATATTTGAGTCTTTACAAGTGAAGGACCAGTCCCAATGGAGCAGAAACAAGCCATCCTAGCTTGATCTTCTCAAATTGCTAACTCACATCATCTATAATAATAATAAAATGGTTGTTTTAAGCCATTAAGTTTCAGGATAATATGTTACACAGCAATAGTAACTGGAACAGCTGCTTCATTCTGCGGGAGAGAAAAATTTCACAGGTGGAGCCCAGGATAACTGCCTCCTAAAACCCCAAACCAAGAATCCTTAAAGAAGCAAAACAGATTCCGGACTTTCTACAATACATTATCAATGATGTCTGGCTTCTACCCCCAAATCACAAGATACAGAGAAAGGGAAAAATATGAACCATATCCAAGTAACAAAAGCAGTCAACAGAATAGATATTGAATGGTTTCAGAAGGTGAATTTAGCTGTCCCAGACTTCAAAGCAACTATTATTAACATAAATCAAATGAAAATTAAGTTTAAATAATTGTTTAATTAGTACTTAATGTCAAATTATGGAATTTTTAAATTGTAGTATGCTGATAAAATGAACTACTGCTCAGATAGGAAAATAAATGAATTAATGATGCATGCAATAGCATATCTGAATCTCAGAATTATTGTATGAGTAAAATAATTCAGTTACAACCATGAATGTGCTATATGATTCAATTTACAAAGGTCTAGATGGCAAAAGAAATCTGTGTAGAAATTAGAATAGTTGTTGGTTCTCAAAGAAAAGCAGAATGTTTGGAATTAAGAACTAGGGATTTCTGTGGTGAGAACAATGTTCTCTATCTTGATTAAGGTGTTCGTGAAACAAGTGTAATTACTTGTCAGCTTCATTAACTTATACATTTATAGTCTTTTTATTTTACTCTTTGTAATTATATATCATTTTTTAATCCGAAAAATGAAGGAACATTGGTGTATATTCCTTTTCAGTGATTTCTTCTCAAGAAAACTAAATTTAATGAACTGTCTTGTGTTTTATAATTCACTTTCTTTAATCATTAAAACATTGAGCTTGGAACACAGCATAGAAAATCAAAGTAGTTTTTGAATAATCTCATTATTAAAAGATTTTTTTTTATTTGGCAAAATCTAAGTTAGACATATTTGGCAAAACCTAATTTAGACATATTTCACAAACCTTCAATTTAGTTAAACTTAAGAAGTAAAGCTCCTCTATTTGCTAATACAGTAATAGCCTAAAATAAGCTGAAAAATGTATTTGAAGGTAATGAAAGTAACTTTTCCTAATAAAATCTATAATTCTGCTTTTCCATTAATTAAGATTATTATATTAGTTTCATAGTTCAAATTAGCACAGTTGCTCTTATTTGATTTGTATAACAAAGATTTTTTATATTTTAATTCCTACCACATTTCACTGCTTTGAATCTTTTTTACACTCGTTGCATAGATCTACATAATAGGTACTGGTTTTAAATTTAATGTCGCTTCGTTCGTTGATTCTTACACAAACTAACGTCAATTATGAGACTGAATAAAAAGCAGAAGTAATACTAAATTTGAAATGATAAAAGATCTTGTGAAATTTGGAAGTGGATAAATAAAGATCTGTGTAGTATAGAATCTTAGAGCCCAAAAATATTTTCTTTTTCATTCTCTTTTCACTTTTAACAGATAAAGTGTTTTAAAAAAATTAAGCTAAAAATTAAATCGAGAAACCTCAAATTAATGCAGACCTGGGCAATAGTTATACTATGTTTATTTTAATAGTCATGATGACGATATTAAAATATTTTTGCCTTTTCCAGACATAGATTTAACACTTAGAACAGCCACCTGATAGCTATGTAGATAAAAATGGGAGGGATCTTCCATTTTCTCAGTCTTTAAATAATTTTAATATTATAGTTTCACAGTATGCATTAAAATAACATGTACTACTCCTGGTATGAAGATGTTCAATTATATACTACAGATATTTTTATTTTCATTGTTATTACTATTACTACTATGGCCCATTGAGTGAAGGTTTTAACACAGAGGTTCCAATACATTCTCCTTTCATGGCCCCTTAGGATCTTTCATTGTTTCACAGTACCACAAACAAATGCCCATTTATCTTATCAAACAGATAAAGCTAAACAACTTTATAATACCCTTAACATTACACATTATAACAATAATGCATGAGATAAAATTATTTTTCACTCTTGATGAACCATAATTAATGATTTATGGGATATGAGTATTTGCTGGGTATCCACAGCCCTCAAATCTCAGAATCAGACTAAATGCCAGCCCCTCATTTCATATTCCACTTCATCTTTTGCACGGTTCTTGCTATTTATCACAGCAATTGCCTAAAAACAGTTTTGCAAAGATATGTTCCACTTGAAATGAATATAGCATGTGCTAATGTTGGAATTTTGAACTCACTGAAGCCAGTAGTTCACTCAATGTCCATCGTATCTGGTATCACTATGATTTCTTACATTTTTAAGATATCTCACAGTACTCTGTGAGTTTGCCATAATGTCCTAGGGCACTTTGTTGCCCAGTTTGGGAGATGTGCATATCAATAAAAATAAAATACCAAATATTTCTGATTATAAAGTACAAATTGAGAGAACATTCTCTTGAATTAATATAAAATATGTAACATGAAAAAGTATCAAACTAGGAATACAAAACAGGAGATAAGGAAAATTGAGTTGGAAATTGCCTTAAAGGAAGAGTGAATAAAATACGGTTTTTGATTTTCATGAGAATTAGAGCAATTAAAGGAACAGCCATTCAGAAACAAAGCTGACACATTGAATGAAGTAATTTAAAAACTGTAATGTTCCTTTTGAATTTTGTTCTATGGTAAAGAGTTTGACTAGCAATGACCCTAAAAATTCCATGACTCAATCTTGCATTTTTGAAAAACTTAAAATTTTTCCTAAACTAGTTCAGGGAATTAGGCCCTGAATCAGTTTGAGACATCAATTTAATAACCCTTCAAGAAATCTCCCTTACTAAAATATGTAACAAGATTATAAAATATTATTGAGAGATGCTTTGGAAAACATCATCCATTTTTTAATGCCTTCAGTGAAAAAAATGTATAATTTACATAAACATGAACAGGATAATTTTTTAGAGAGGAAATAATAGTAATAACAAATGTACCTTGTAGAGATCCCATGATGTAAAATTGTAATTATAAAATATAAGGATATCAGAACATCTCAGTACAAGAATTGACTCTGCACTTCAGGAATTTATAATCTGTGCTTTAGGCCAAGTGAAGACTGTACATACAGGTCCAGAATTCTTTACTCGCAATTCTAAAACACAAAATGCTGCAGGGAATTTTTTGTTCGTTTGTTTGTTTTGTAAATTTGGTCCTAAAACTCACTCATTGGTGTCGAACCTGTGACTAGACAAAGTGAACTAACAGAAACCAGTTTACTCTTATGCCTAAAACAACCAGAAATACACATGATAATGGTTTTCAAGACATCCACCATCAGGCAAGGAAGGCAAGTGACCTGTGAGAGGAAGCTAACAACGTGAGGCCTGTGATTGCTCCAGCTTACTGCCTGGAGATAGTTTGCATGCCCAGCACAGGTAGGGAGAATAATTAAACCTTTTGTTCCATAGAGGTGATAGGGGACATGAGCCTGGGTACATCTTGGTAGTGGCCGCTGTTCCTTCAGCCATCCAGTACCAAAGGGATCTGTCTGTGGATTCTCCCTGATCTTCCCTGTGAGGATCATCATGAAGGAGTTTCACTCTCTCTACTCACTCACACTTAGCCTCAAGCAATTTGCTTAGCAATTCTTGATAAATCTTTTCAATGGCTTAAATGGTGTTTGATGATGTGTGCCCCAGGCAAGCAAATGCTAGGGTCCTGTATCTCCTCCTAATGCACCTGTCTCTTTCCAGGTTACAGGTTAGTTGTTTGCTCTGCAATTCCTGTTCTCTGATGGGTTAAAAAAAAAAAAAAAAGTCATTAATTTGCAGTTTATCCAGTTGTTTTTCTGCTGGGGTGGGAATGTACTCTTTATAGCCTTCTACATCCCTGAGCCAAAACCCAAAGTGCATTATGCTTCCTAAAATTAAAACCAGCAATGAAATTCTCTCCTCTCTCTTATCATTTAATTCTGGCTGGCCTGGGTGAAATGAATCTGACTCATTTTGCTTTCATTACAGACCATGTAAGCATACAGCTTACCTGGATCATCTCATGATTTAAAGTCAGTCCCAAGGAGGTCATCACAGTTGCACCTTTTCCTTTGAACTCTCTTAATGTTTGGAGGGGGAGGGTTTTTTAAGCAATCTGTGACTTGAAAATATTCTGTCATTGGTTTGCTTACTTGTGCATTGAAAATGACAGGAAATTATTGTTACTCATCTGAATTTTTTGAAACCCCTATGCCATTTTAGGGAACATATTCCTTTTGATTATATACGCCTCAGTTAATTCCTCTCAAATTTTTGTAATAGTCTGTGCAAGATCAAGAGAAGTTCTACTCATTCAGGATATCTTCTTTATCAGGTCAGTGTTGATTGGTAAGAACAATTGGCATCTAACTCTTGACAATGAAGCAACATTCTCAACGGTGAGATCACGGATGTGGAATTCCACGATATGTGCTTTACCACATGCATTATGGCAATCAATTCCTTTATTTTTTGGTCCATTTATCCTGTTCAGTCATTTACTGAACGTCTACTACGTGCCAAGTACTGTCCTAGAGTATAGGGATCAAGTGGTAAAAAGGAAGACCCTTTCGTAGAATTTACAGACTATACCAAGAAAAATGAATAAATAAATTGCACTTGTAGTGAATGTCACAAGAAGTGCAGCATATGATCAGAATATATAACGGAAGAGTCTGGAAGTCACAGAAGGCCATCTTGAAATGACAATACTCAAGTTGAATACAGAAAGATACCATACCGTAACAATAGGAGAGAAAATACAAATTAATAAATCAAGCAAAAGAAAATTAAATAAAAACTATGAGAGTTTTCAATTGAATTGAAACATCATTTTTAGCTGTATCTTAATAAATGTATAAACACCTGTGAATAGGATTGTCAATTATAAAGCAAAAACAATGAAAATGTATCAGTTTAATCACTACACAGATATGTGTAGACACTTGGTCACAAAAGATACATGAAAAAAATTATTAGAATTTTAAAATTTAGAAAATGTTCTCTTTTGTCCCTTCCACTTCCAATTAGTAATGCATTGAGGAAGAAGTAGTTTATAATATTCTTTAAGTAAGTGTAATACAAAGACTACAATGTTTTCCTATGTTATTTTAAATGATATTCAGAGATCAATTTTTATGAAGCTCTAGGAAAAGCATTAATAAAATATTTTAACATCTGAAATAAATATTAGCAAAAATGAATGAATCATAACATTTCCCCTCTTAATTCAATATAATTTTCCTCAACATAAATATAATTCAATATAACTTTGCAATATATCACAGCATCAATTTAAATTTCTACAAATAAACCCACAAAATGTTTGGCACCATAATAACTTAAGGAAATTATTTTTTTACTCAGTAGTAATTCATGTATATAAATAGATATGAAAGTAAAATGCAAATGTACATGTATGAGTGTATATGTGTACGTGCATGTGCGTGTTTTCATACATACGTATTTTCCTTTTAAGTATATTTGTTTTCTGAGTACTAACCAATTAATTTTTCCTTAAACCAAGAGTAAGCCTGCATCAAAACCATGAAATGACCTCCTTTTTAAATACTTTGTGAGCAGTTATAAAAACCATTTTTAAAAGTAAAAAAATAAAACCAAAGGAAATGGCACTTCAGTGAGGGGAAAAAAAATACCTCAGACTACTACCAGCCTTATTTCTTATCTGAGTATTAATAGGTCCCCTAATTTAAAGGGGAATAAAACAAGCATGCAATCTTTTAAAGCTGGGATATTATTTTCTTAAAGTGATATTATTTTTAACTTTTAGGCCCAAAGTGATACAAGTTCAAACCTACAACGTCACCACAGATATCAATGCCTCTGGTCCAAGGTCCACAATAACCACTCGCGTGACTCTAGACACCTCGTGTTATCTGTCAGGGCCTACGTCTTTTCACCTATAAAATACAGGACTCGAGCCAGAAGCTTTTGGGCATCGTCTGGTTTTAAGTATAGCACTCCAACCCAGGGTCACTTCAAGACAGGATGAAAACTATTTATGCATGGTCTCATAAGAAAACATAGGCATATAAAATCCATTTGAAATATCAGTGTTTAGCTGTAATGAGCTAATTGCTAATCTTCACATAACCATTATGTACACAGTTGGTCAGAAAGAACACATATGGGGCCCTTCAGTGTTGACAGCAAATGACTAGACTTAGAACAGAGGATAAAGAAAAGCAGTAGACAACCAAATTCAATTCTACCCTTTTCTTTAATAATGTTTCCTATATTAAGTACAAACTAGATTAGTTTAAGTGCAAACGCATCCGAAAAGCACTTCCTAAAGTATACTCCACAGCTCAGAAATTGCTGAGGCCAATCGATCATCATATATATGTTTGTTCTGGACATAAAGAACATAGCAGCCAGTCTGAGTGAATTATTCACCATTCAGAATGCACTTATAAAGATAGATATAAGATAAGTTCATAGTCCAATTTATTTTTGGAAATGGAATACCATAAGTCATACTGATTGTTGGGCATCCATACAGTTTAATGGAACCAGCAGACATACAAAAATGGAAATTACAATTACAAAGTACCAGAATTTTTGCTGCAACGAAAAACAAAGACTATCAAAAAGAAACTTTTCTGTCTGCAAGGAGAAAGTCTACAAGGAAATAGCAATGATGTTTACAAAAAAATTACAAATACTGTTAACATAGACTCATATGATAAATTTCTGAAATGTGTTAAATAGAGGGACGTTCTTTAATCCTGAGTCTAAAAAATATTCACAAACCAAAAGGAAAGCAAAAAGTCACTAATAGGAAGTGAAATTATTTCAGCTCAATCCCTAAAAGAGGCAAGAAAAGATCCTTAAACGGAGTAAAAACGTCTATAATGTCAAAGTCAGTTATATGGAAGAAAAATTCCATCCCATCCTATCCCTCCTATTCACAATAGACCATTTTTTAAAGCAGGCTGATTTAGAAACAACTCCAAGAGTGAGTTTATGCCAAAGCTCTTCAAGTAACCCTACAACATGGTGCTCAATTGACAGAGACAGAGAACTGAGTTCAATGGGCCAAATATCTCAACTCGACATTGCTGTGGTGTAATAAATGCTATTTACAATACTATTTCTTTAGGAGGGTTTCTTCTATGTGACACAACTATTATAAAATGTTAATGCTTTTCTGTTAAAATGAAAAATTGTGTTATGGATTAAGCTTTGTGCACTGTGTTTAAACGAGGGAGGGAAGGAGTATGCTGTCCTTTAATGGATTATGTCTGTAGGGAAGGTGAAGCTATCCATTAAGCTGAAGGGGACTCTGCCTGAGAGGATGGAGAAACATATCAGGTTGACAGAAACTGAGAGACAAATAATAGGTTCTGTTATGAAGAGGATATGCCTATTCCAAATGTTTGCTTCTAAACTAGCTTAGGGAATGCAGCATTAGCAGAAAAAATAATATGTGTTAAATTCAGTTAGTGTTATTGCCAAATCCAGACAGGTAGAATTTTGAGTTGGGAATTCATTAGATCGCTGTTTAAAAAAGCATAACACAAAAATATTTCTTTAAAATAAATAACAGTGTTAAAAAACACTTTATAAATACAGCAAAAGTATGTTTTCCACTTTTGGATGTAATTTATTCAGAGAAAGGAAATTACCAAAGATCCAACACCTGCTAAGAACCAAAGGCTGTATTAAGTGATTAACATACTCTGTAACTTGATTCTCATAATCCTTTAGGTAAATATTATTTTAATTCCAATTCAAGGATAGGGAAGATTTAGTCAGTTAACTAAAAATGTCCACAAGCTAAGCATGGCGCGACCTTCTAAGGGCCCTGTGGGCTTCTTGGGATTCACATTTATCAGTGAAGAGGTATATTGTACAAGTGGTTTTAAATTTGTTTGTTGTTTTTGTTGTTGTAAAGGCTTTGCATGTACTGTCAGTAGGAGACACCAAAAAAGCAGACACCAATATGACCTAGCCTGGTTTAGGAGTCTGGAAAATTCTCCCAGACATAATTTTAAGACTCAAAGTAACTTTCTCTATCACACAACAGTGTGTGTGGAATGAATACCCTCTGAGTGTGTCTGTCTGACTCTACAGCCTATTTTCTTAGCTGTCACTTGTTGTGATGTTTGGTTACTATAATCGTTAATTTGTTTCTATTCAAAAAAATAGGTGTATATTTGCTTCCCAATTATCTGGGCAGAATCCATGTCCAGAAGCCTGGTGTGTGCTTAAACCCCCAAGAAAGTAATGTGATCTCAGTTGCTACTTGTACTGAGGGAAGCCCCCTCCATCCCCCTGCAAAAGGAGAACCCAGGGGGAACCTCACCGAAAACCTAGACCAATGGAAATGTGAGCAAGAGCCTAGCAAAACCAGACAGTTCCCCTTTCAAGGCAGGTTTGTTTGCCTTGATGTTGGGTAACCTTAAGCTACATAGTTCAAAAGCCACCACTGACAGTCAGATTCCAACTATATATCTTCCTGTTTGGGGACCAAACCTGGTCTTTATATCTGCCCTTCAGCTACGCATGACCTCACTGACCTACTCTGATTTGTCAGATCGGAACCCAAAGTGATAACCAGATGTGGTTTGTTTCACTGACGTTGCGAGTTTTGCTTCCCATTTCTGACATCTACAGCCGGCCAGACCCACTGAGGAACTGGCGCTCACACCCTGCCCATCCATCACCAGGCCTACCACCAATATTTGCGTGACTCAGATATGGAGGCCCCCAGACCTTATTTAACATGTATTTAAAATACAGATCTCAAGCAAATAAACCAATAAGCTAAATTTAACCTCAATCTGTCACCTTTCTCTTCAGCCCTACCATGCATTATCTCTAAACAGAGTTCAATTTTCTGAGTTTGAAGATTGTTTTCATTTTGCTACTAAATGAATCCACCCTAATGGAAGTAGCGCTTGACACTTCAGGTGCAGTTATTAACTGATATATTAAAAAACTCATTTAAAATACCTCAAATACAATAACTGAAGTTACATAATTCCAGACATGAATAAACCTCAAATGGCTAGAACCGGAATGAATATTTGAATGTGCCATAGAATCTACGTTGCTTCTCAATGTAGATCTTTTTCAGCTTTAACTCAACCTTGAATTTATTTTTCCTATAAGAGGAGCAAATTGAAATCTCACTCACAGCCAAGACCTCATCATGGCGGCAACAGGAGCGAGAGATCGGACTGAAGAGGAAAGCAGTAGAAAAAAGCTTACACAAAGAAACCCTTCCAGGCAGTGTGTACTTGGCTTCAGGGATTTAATGATGGCTTTGAAATAACATCGTTAAAGAAGAAGCCACACTGAAAAACCTTAAGCTTAGGTAACTATGTATGCAGAGCATGAGAAATCTCTGCAAACGGTAAATAAAGCTGTCTTTACCAAGAAGAGACAATGCTGGCCCAGTTTAATTAGGGCACAAAACAACATGGGACACCCCAAAGGGGATTAATTGTACTTGGATATCAAAATAAAGTAGAATCAAACCACTGCAGAGTACCCCGTAAGCCACAGTGGGACAATTATTAATAAGGAACATTATGTTAACATAAGCCTATCTCTACACTCTATAAATTGTTGTACAAACATACATTAGCCATAAAATAAATTACATAATATTTTCATCCCAATGTCAACACCTACCTAAGTATATAGGCATTTTCAACGTATTCTTTTATTTATGACAATTATCTATGACTAAGATTGAAAAGGCTGGATTGAGGTTAGTCCTAATAATGATTTCAATACAAACTGTCATGCATGGAGTGTACAGGCTAATAAACACTTCTCTTTAAAGGATGTGAAATTAGCTGGGCCTTTTCCTGGCTAGTTTGCTACATGTGACATTAACATATGATATGCTGTGATAACTGATGCATTCAGAAGGAGGCTTTGTTAATAGGATTTAGGTGTTGACATATTAATAATAAGAATAACTAATTTTGAAAAATAACAGGCACTGAGAAGGTCCCACATAGGTAAATCATTGCAAAAATTACAAATCCAAATGCTGAACACAGGTAAAGTTCGGTCAATTAAATGAAGAATCTGACATGGGCTGGATGGGTCATTAGTGAATTGGAAAGAGTATCTCTTATCTAAAAACATGCAATTTTTTTTTCAATTAAGCAAATATGCAAACCAAGAAAAACATGCTGAACAAAAGCACTTCGTTTCTATCCGATGCTAACACAGAAAATTTGTACAATAAAATGAAGAGCATCAACAGAGTGTTACATTCAGAAGAACATGAAGACAACTACCCTACCTACACCAGATGACAGATGATAAACATTTATATCTTAATACAAATTTTGTTGATTATAGCATTTTGTATTGTAACAAGTGCTAAGTCAATTTATATGCTGTTAAATAGTTTTGTCAGTGAAAATGTGTTGCTTAAAGGTAATTATGCCACACTGTATCTAAATTAACTTGTTTCTCTGAATATTATTTTTTACATCAAGGATTCTACAGAAGCAGAAAAACCCATTGGATGGTTGTATCTGAGACCTTTTTATTCAATAATAAAATGATTATTATTAAAAAGAGAAAAGATAAAAGTTTAGGGAAATTCCGTAAAAAGTAATTCTCCAGAGAGACAACTGAATCTTTAATTTAGTGAATCCTGATAATTGCTTATCTTTGAAGTTTGAACTTTAATTATAATATGCAAGATAGAAATGAAAATCTCTTTAAGCAGCCGCTTAAGGATGATCAGTGGCAGGTGGATTTATAAAGTCTAATCTGGCCTTTGTTTCAAAGTATGAATTTAAACAACTCAATCTTTAAATGTCCAAATAAGATTACTTGTATTTAGTAAGCATCTAACTGGACATGTGGTTAATAAGGTTTACCACCTAAACTACCAGAATGTGGAAGTTAAAAACTACGGCTGTCTAAGCAGGTAGTCATTTGTAATTTTCTTTTAGAATTCTGTATCTCCTTTTCACTGCTAAATTGATAACCATTTGAAGTAAGATTCCAGTTGGGAAAAAGCTGTCAAGTACAATTTACATCATAAATAGAATCCTGTAATTAGAAGTACCCAGAGAGATATCTTGACATTTCATTTGTCTGTTAGGTTGATGGCCATCCGGAGTAGTGAAACATGTATCACATCTTTATTAATAAGATGCTTCATTTTTATTGGAACAAAAAAGTGGAACAAAAAATATAAACCTAATAAAAGGTGAACCTAACTATTGCATCATGATCTGTAACACAGCAAGGATTCTATGGACGATCAGAATATGACTTGAAAGTCTTTACCATCACTAACAATCAATATATGTGGTTGTAGGGAAGACAGTTCTCTATCTCAGGCCCAAAAGTGGGCTCCTCTACTCACCCTGTAATTCCTATCCTAGTCTTTTGTTCTCCTCATTCCTCGGGGATATTTTATCTATAATATATCTTCAGTTATCATCAGTTTGCGTTGATTCTCAAATCTGTATCTTCATCTCAGTACAATGTCCTTAGATCCTGGCACATACCTCTGACTGTTCAGTGCACATTTCTGTGTGATTGTGATGCAAGAACCTGAAGTATATGCCCTTAAATCAATTCTTTCTCTACCCTGACTCCCAATCAGCTCTGTTTTCAGCGTTTCTATGTCCACCATTTGCCCATTTTTTTTTTTTTCTGGAATCATCCTTGACTCATCCCTCCTATTTTTCCTTCACATCTAATCTACCTCAAAGTCCTTTCGGATCTGCCTTCAGCATGTGCCTTGATGACATTGTCTTCATAACCACCTACACTGTTGCAGTCCTTGTCCTGGCTATCATCAGCTGTTGCCTACACAGGGGTGATGGAGCTCTTATGTCCTCCACCACCCGCCCCCGCAAGTCATTCTCCACAATGAAACCAGAGCAAAATCTATAAAACAATATCTTCACATATGCTTGAAAACCTTCATTGTTCCTCATTAATCTCCAGTGAGATTTGGAGAGATAAGTTATTGCTCTCAGAAAGACATAGCGGGTCTGATGCGGTAAGAAACGGAAGCAAAGTGTCCAGCAGTTCTCAGATAATTCTCTGTCCTCTTTTCCATGTCCATTTCATCTGCCTACCTTCTAGCCTTATGGATCAAGGGCAATGCCAGGCGCTCCACCAGACCCTTGGATGTGCACAGGCAGAGGAAGTAGTTGCACAGAGGCAGGAGTCTCCCATTGATCTCCCTGCAATCCTCCCTTTTTGTTTCATCTGCAGTGGCTGTACCTGCTTGACTTCCCAGATTTTCCCATTAGTCAACTGTTAAAAGCGAAAATAAAGCAGCAAGGGAAAATGAAATGTTACAAACAGCAGAAGAATGAGCACATTTTAGCTGATTTCTTATAAGAATCCATGGGGTCAGAAGAGGGTAGAGCAGTAACTGTAAAGTGCTAAAAGAAAAAAAATACTCAGAATTCTCTCTCTAGTGAAGATATCCTTCAAAAATGTGGGACAAATAAAGACATTTTCAGATAAAAGAAAACTGACAGTATTCTTTTTCAAGAGATCTGCTTTATAAGAGATGATAAATAAAGTCCTTTAGGGTGCATGGAAATGATACCAGAGAGGAACACAAATTGGCAGAATGGAACTGGAACGAAGAATATTAGACGTGGCAAATGTCCAAGTAAATGCAAAAAAAGAGAGAAGGAATGATTTTCCTATTTATTCCTCTTCATTTCTATATACATTATATGTTTCAAGTAAAATTATAATATTTCTTATAAAGTATATAACCTAGAGTATGTGATACAATACCATATCATATTAGTAATTATAAAAAATTAGGGAGTGGCATGAACTCATATGGTTGCAAAATTTTTATATTTTATATGAGTTAGTATAATATTAACAACGCTTAGATTATAAAAAGTTAAGGGCATATATTTCATACTGTAGAGCAACCAGTAAACACACACACACACACACGCGCACACATGTGCACACACAAAAGAAGTCTAGCTAAAAGGCCAATAGACAAAATAGAATTCTAAAAAGATTTAATTAATTTGGCAAAAGTCAGTGTCAATGAAAAGAGTCAAACTCTGTAAAACATTTGAAGAGATTTATTCTAAGCCAAATATGAGTGACCATGGCCTGTGCCATGGCACTCAGGAGGTCCTGAGAATGTATACCCAAGGTAGTCAGGTGCAGCTTGATTTTATATATTTTAGGGAGGTATGAGACATCAATCAAATACATTTAAGAAATACATTGCTTTGGTCCAGAAAGGCGGGACAACTCCAAGGAAGGGGAGTGCTTCCAGGCTATACGTAAATTTAAACACTTTCTGGATGAAAATTGGTTGAGTTTGTCTAAAGACCTGGGATCCATAGAAAGGAGATGTTCAGGTTAAGATTAAAGATGGTGGAGACCAATATTCTTTGGAAGTTTTACAGTGGCTGCCCTTAGAGACAATAGATGACAAATGTTTCCTATTCAGATCTTAAAAAGGTGCTAGACTTTCAGTTCATCTCTTTAGGATTGGGAGGGCCTGGAAGAAAAAAATGTAGCTATGTTAATAGAGATTCTTTACAGATGCAATTTTTCCCTCACAAAGGACAGCTTTGTAGGGTGATTTCAAGATATGGCAAAGAAACATGTTTTGGGGTAAAATATTTTGATTTCCTTCCTTGTCTCTTAACCTTATGCCAGAGTCAGGTTGGAAAGTAAGTCACAATATACGGGGTTAAATAAAACCCAGCTGATGATAATTTATTTATGATTATTAGAGCATGACTCCCCAGACCCCTTAGATAGGAATGTGGGCAAGACAAAAAAATCAGAGCTTAGTCCTCATCAGTAAAGGAGAAACTGAGGAACAAAAAACAGACGAGATAAGTAAACACCAAATAATAAAATAGTAGACTCCATGCCAAGTATATGAAAAATTACATTAAATGTTAATGGACAATGGCTAAAAGTTGAGGTTATCGAAATGGATTTCAAAACTAGTCCGTGTCAGGCCTCTGAGCCCAAGCTAAGCCATCATATCCCCTGTGACCTGCACGTACACATCCAGATGGCCGGTTCCTGCCTTAACTGATGACATTCCACCACAAAAGAAATGAAAATGGCCTGTTCCTGCCTTAACTGATGGCATTATCTTGTGAAATTCCTTCTCCTGGCTCATCCTGGCTCAAAGGCTCCCATACTGAGCACCTTGTGACCCCCACTCCTGCCTGCCAGAGAACAACTCCCCTTTTTCCTTTACCTACCCAAATCCTATAAAACAGCCCCACCCCTGTCTCCCTTTGCTGACTCTCTTTTCGAACTCAGCCTGCCTACACCCAGGTGAAATAAACAGCTTTATCGCTCACGCAAAGCCTGTTTGGTGGTCTCTTCCCATGGATGCGCATGGAAGTTCCAACTACAGGATGTCTACAAAAGTCATGCTTCAAATACAAAGAGATAAAGATGAAAGTAAATATATGGAAAACATCTATCATGCAAACAGCAAGCATGGGAAAGCTGCAGTGACCAACAACTGTTGTCATCACCTAGGAAGGCAGATGAACCCCCTCCACCACCCAAAAGTTGGCTCAGATGTCAAGACAGATGAAGCTACACATGCACACATTCCAAAAGGGTGTGAAAAGGTTTATCACTTACGTAACTGAGGCACCTGGGGAGAGCTGGGCAGACCCCTAAGGCAGGTTCGAAATGGTTGGCTTGAGTTGTTATTGTCGCTGCTGGGGAGGGCTGGGGTGAGAGTTCCTGCGCTCAGGCCTTGGCTTGTGAGGTTTTAATCTCTCGCCTGCACCAAAGGAGGAAACATTAAGGATAAAAGAAAGAAGTAAAGATGGATTATTTGAATTCTCACCTTAAAAAATTAGAAAAAGACCAAACTGCACCCAAAGTAAGTTGAAGGCAAGACAAAATAAAGATAAAAGAACAAAATTCAATGACATAGACAAACAATGGAGAATCAATGAAACCAAAAGATGGTTCTTTGAAAGGATTGCTAAAATGGCCTGTAGCTAAACTAATTAAAAGAAAATGAAAAAAGACAAACTGGTAATATCAAGGATAAAAGAAGGAAAATACCTATCCCTTGTACATTAAAGTGATAATATGGGCCATGCATGGTGGCTCATGCCTGTAATCCCAGCATTTTGGGAGGCAGAGGCATGTTCAAGGAGCACAGGAGTTCAAGACCAGCCTGGGCAACACAGTAAGACCCTGTCTCTACAAAAAATACAAAAATTAGCTGCGCATAGTGGCATGCACCTCTAGCCCCAAAGCTATTCGGGAGGCTGAGGTGGGAGGATCACTTGATTCCCAGAGGCAGCGGTTGCAGTGAGCCAAGATCATACCACTGCACTCCAGCCTCGGTGACAGACCGAGACTCTGTCTCAAAAATAAATAAATAAAATGATAATATGGGAGTATCATGAACAAGTTAATTTCAATATACTTGACAGCCTGTGTACAATGAACTCATTTCTCAAATGTCAAATTTTACCAAAACTGATGCTCCCCCACAAAAATAAAAAAGTCAAATCCAATTAAAAACTAAAAAGTTTCCCCAAAACAAATTTTGACATGGCTATACTGCTGTATTCTTTCAGATATTTAAATAGAACTGTTACCAACCTGACATAAATTCTTTAAGAAAATATTACATAGGTGACAGAATGCTTTATAATTCATTTGATTTGACTTAAGATATTGAAACCAAAGATATCTTAAGAAAACAAAGCTACAAATGCTTATTCCTCATGAACACAGATACAAAACTATATCACAAATATTTAGACATTGTAAACAACAATACGTAAAAGAACAATGCCTCATGACCATGGGTATTAGTCAGGGTTCTCCACAGAGACAGACCAGTAGGATATAGAGAGAAAGATACAGATATGTGAGCTGGGACTTATTAGGGGAATTGGCTCACATGATCATGGAGGCTGAGCAGTCCCACGATAGGTTGTCTGCAAGCTGGAAAACCAGGGAAGCCGGTAGAGTGACTCAGAGTACAAAGGCCTCAGAACCATGAAAGCCAATGGTGCAATTCCCAGTCTAAGGCCAAACGCCTGAAAATGGGGTGGGTGGAAGGGACTGGTGTAGGATGTCAGTTCCAGACTTCAAAGGCCAGAGAACCTGGAGTTCTGATGTTCAAGGGCAGGAGGAGAAGGGTGTCTCAGCTCCAGAAGAGAGAGAGAAAACTCAACTCTTTCCTTCTGCATTTTTTTTTTTGATGGAGCCTTGCTCCATCTCCCAGGAGGGACGGCAATGGCTCGATCTCGGCTCACTGCAGCCTCTGCCTCTAGGATTCCAGGGATTCTCCTGCCTCAGCCTCCTGGGTAGCTGGGATTACAGGTGCAGGCCACCACACCTGGCTAATTTTTGTATTTTTAGTAGAGACAGGGTTTCACCATGTTGGTCAGGCTGGTCCTTTTTGTTCTAGCCAGGTGCCCAGCCAATTAGATGGTACTTGAACACTGAAGGTGGATCTTTCCTTACTGAGAGTACTGATTCAAATGCCAGTCTCTTCCAGAAACACCCTCACAATCACATCTAGCAATAAATGCTTTACCAGCTATCTCTGTATGTCCTAATCCAGTCAAATTGACACCTAAAATTAACCATCACTGTTAGGATTATTTAAGAAATTAAGGTTTTCCAACATTTAAAATTAATGTAAGTCACCATGTTGATGGATTAAAGGAAAAACTGTATAACTATTCAATAGATACAAAAAAAAGCACTTGAAAATATTCAACTCACACTCATGATAAAGCCTCTGAGTAAACTAAGAATACAAGAGAATTTCCTAAAACTGATTAAGGGCATCTAGGATAAGAACTACAACTAACATTATACCTAACACCAAAAGGCTTAGTGATTTCTATTTAAGATCAGGATCAGGGCAAGAATGTTTACTTTCAAAACTTACATCCAAAATTGCACTGAAGGTCCTAACCCAGTGCAGTAAGGCAAGAAAAATAAACAAAAGCCATAAAGATTTGGAAGGGAAAAGTATAAATTTTAACTTGCAATGATATGCTCAAGTATGTATAAATTCTTTAGGAATCTACCAAAAAAATCTATAATTAATTGTAATAATAATGCCAACCCATCTCTTTCACAAATAAAAATTAACTCAAAATGGATCATAAACTTAAATATGACAGACAAAGTCATATAACTACTGGAAAAAATCCAAGGGGAAAATCTTTGTGACATTGAATAAGGAAAGATTTCATAAATAGAACACAAAAATACAATCTAGAAAAGAACAAAACAACGCAAAAAATAAACTTCTTCAAAATCAGCAACCTTTACCCTTTGTATTAGTTAGGGCTCTCCAGAGAAAGAGAAAAAATGGTATGTGTGTGTGTGTGTGTGTGTGAGAGAGACAGAAAGAGAGATAGAGGGCAACAAAGAAATAGAGATTTATTTTAAGAAATTGGCTCATGCAATTGTGCAGACTTGGTAAATCCAAAATTTGCAGGGTAGGCCTGCAGTTCAGCTCAAAGCGAGTCTGCTGGCAGAATTCCTTCTTGCCCAGTGTGATGATTAATGTTGTGTCAACTTGACTGAGCTAAGGGATGCCCAGATAGCTGGTAAAATATTGTTTCTGGTATGCCTGTGAGAATGTTTCTGGAAGAGACTAGCATTTCATTCAGTAGACTGAGTAAAGAAGATCCACCCTCACCAATGTGGGTGGGCACCATTCAATCCATTGAGGCCTCACATAGAACAAAAACATGGAAGAAGGGTGAACTCACTCTCTCTGCTTGCGCTGGGACACCCATCTGCTCCTGCTCTTAAATATGGATGTTCCTGGTGTTGGGGCTTTTGAACTTGGACAGAAACTTACTCCAGTGGCCCCTTACTCTCAGGCCTTTGAACTTAGAATCACACTAAAGGCTTTCCTAGTTTTCTAGCTTGCAGATGGCAGATTGTGGGACTTTTTGGCCTCTATAACCATGTGAGGCAATTCCTATTTATTTTATATATATATAGTCCTATTTTATATATAGTCAATTTTATAAATATTTATATATTTATATATATTTTATATATTTATATATTATATATTACATATAATATTTATATGTATTTCAATTTTATAAATATGTATATTTTATATATATTTATAAAATTCCTATATATATATATATATATATACAGTCCTGTTTGTTCTGTTTCTCTGGAAAACCTTAACTAATACACTGAAGGGAGGTTAGTCTTTGGTTTATTAAGGCCTTATATTAATTATAGAGGTTTACTCACATTAGGCAGGATAATCTGTTTACTTTAAGTACACTCACTTAAATTTTAATCTCATCCAAAAAGCACCTTCACCAAAATATCTCGAATAATGTTTGACTCACTATCTGGGCACTGTGTCTCAGTCAAGTTGGCCATAAAATTTACCCTCACACTCTTCAAAAGGCACATTTCATGTTGCTTATGAGCTACCTTTGGGGGTAAATATTTGCAGAACATAAATATTACAAAGGACTTGCACCCAGAATACACAAAGGACTCTTACATCTGCATAATAAGATAAATGACCCAATAAAAGAGAGGTAACATATTTATACAGATATACAAATAGCCATTAAACTCATGAAAAGATATCCCCAAACACCTATTATTTTGCTAATACTTTTTAAAACCAGCTACAAAATTAACTAAAGCTGAAAAGTGTTGGCAAGAATATGGAGTAATTAGAATTATCATGCTTTGCTAGTGGAAATACCGTACGATATAATCACTTTGAAAAATGCTATGTTAGCATACTATAAAATTAAACACATATTTATCATTTGACCTAGCAGTCCTGTTCATGGCCTTGTGCAATATAATAGCCAACAGATGCATGTGATTATACAGATCTAAATTTAAATTAATTGAAATTAAGTAAACTAAAAAGTAAGTTTTTCAGTTACTTAGCCAGATGTCAAATACTAGTTACTTGTGCTAGTGGCTATGATAGCGTACACTGTGGATATAGGAATATTTGTATCATCATAGCACATTCTATTACACAGTGCTTTATTAGAGTTATTACCCAAGAGAAATCCATGCAGACATACATCTATAGAAAGACCTATTTACTGCTGTTTCTAGAAGGATTATTTCTAACAGTGCAAAACTGGAAGCAACTCAATTGCCCATCAACTGGCAAGTGGATAAACAAAGCATGGTATATTCATACTGTGGACTATTCCCCAGCAGTACAAACAACCCAAATACAAATAGACACGACAGCAGGAGTGAATCTAAGAAACATTATGCTACGGGAAAGAAGTCAAACAAAAAAGACTTCATATAATGTGAACATATTTATATGAAACTCTTGAACATGCAAAACTATAGTGAAAGAATGTAGATCAATGTTTGCCTGTGGCTGGGAGTTGGCAGAGAGTTGACTGCAAAAAGCCATGAGGAAACCTACTAGAGTGACAGAACTTTTCTATATGTTGAATTTGATGGAGGTCATATGACTGCATACAATTACCAAAATCTATCAAACTGTACATCTAAAATCAATTAATTTTTTTCTTTTTTTACTTTTTTGAGACAGAGTCTCGCTCTGTTGCCAGGCTGGAGTGCAGTGGAGCGATCTCGGCTCACTGCAACCTCCACCTCCCAGATTCAAGCGATTCTCCTGTGCCAGCCTTCCCAGTAGCTGGGACTACAAGCGCGTGCCACCACACCCAGCTAATTTTTGTATTTTTAGTAGAGCCAGGGTTGCGCCATATTGGCCAGGATGATCTTGGTCTCCTGACCTCGTGATCCATCCGCCTGGGCCTCCCAAAGTGCTGGGATTACAGGCATGAGCCACCGTGCCTGGCTGAATTTTATAATATATAAACTACAACTCAATAGAACTAAAACAAGCACACACACAAACACACACACACACATGCACACACAGACTCACATGCTCCTATACTCATATACCAAACCACTATGCAGTTCTTAGTTTACCCCTAGTTTGTGCGTTCAAAGAGAGCAACGATACACACGCATGAATACTTTGGCCAAGAGGGCAATGCAGTACCACATTGAATTTCTTTTTAAACAAATGTTGCTGTGTCAACTTGCTATTCATTCGGAAGTATTGACTCTTGACCTAAACCTCACATCATGCACCAAAATGATTTCCATGTTCATTGCAGATCTAAATGAGAAAGATGAAACAATGAAATTTTCAGAGGAAAACAGAAAAATATCTTCAAGACTAGCTTCAGGAGGCACATAGTTCTTAAACAATACATGAAAATAAATAATAAAAATAAATGTTGATGAATCATAACATATTATAATTAAGAATTTCAATTAATAGAGAGAAAAAAAGGCATACCATAGAATGGGAGAACACATAGTATTTATGATATCTGACAAACTACTTGTACCCACAAGATATAAATAATTTCTATAAGCAAATAAGAAAATGAAAATAAACTTGTCAAGGCAATTCACACAAGTATAATCACGTGGCAAAAAAAAATATATATATATATATATAAACTGTGTTCAACCTCACTAGACATTAGGATAATGCAAAACCGTGTCACACAATTATAGTCCCAATAAGTGAAAAGAGAAGAAGGAGAAAAAGAAGAAAATCTGTTGCAAATTTAGATGATAATGTAATACAACTATAATTCTCATACATTTCTGGTGGTATGTACATTGATTCATCCACTTTGGAAAACCATTTGACAATGACTAGTAAAGTTGAGTGCATGCCATCTCTATAATCCAGCATTTCCAACTCGAGACATATATCCAATAGAAATGAATTCACATTTACCAGAAGACATGTATAAAAAATGTCCAAGTACTATTTGTAAAAACCAAAAGGCTAGAAACTAAGCAAATCTTTATCAACAGTTGAGTGGAAACGTAATCTGTAGTATAATTGATAATTACCTTCTATAAAACAATGAAAATGAACTAACTGGAAGTGTATGCAATAAAATGGATAAATATCACAAATGATGCGGAGTGGAAGAAGCTAGACAAAAATGGAGTAGGCAATAAAAAATTTCATTCATAAAAATGTTAAAACCAGGCAAAACTATTCTATGCAGTTAAAGATCAGGACAATAGTTGTTTTTGGCAGGAAAAGTCATTAGACAGGAGCATAAGGATAGCTTCGTGTTCTGTTTCGGAATGATGGTTACAAATATAAGCATAATTTATAAAAAAAATCATTAAGCTACACACTTTTTACATGATTATTATATTTTGAGAAAAAATGTCTTTAAAGAAAACAGCCTAAGAAAAGGCAAAGGAACTGGTTATTAAAACCATCACATCAAAAGACTGAAAAGTTTGGAGGTAGCATAGAAGACAGAAACTTTCAAGCTACCCAGACAAATATTATGTACAGATTGATGAAAATCTGTTTGCAAGACATTCATCATAACTTCTCCAGGGATGCATTATCTAATTGAGTAGCATTATTCATTTTGCTTTGATTTTGGTAAAGTTGGTGCTGAAAACTAAAAGAAACCCGCATCATCTCACTGCACAATGACTTAAGGTTTCTACCCTTGTCATCTGGTAGCTGACTTTAAAATGTGATGTGGGCCAGGGCCTGGTGGCTCATGCCTGTAATCCCAGCATTTTGGGAGGCTGAGGTGGGAAGACTGCTTGAGCCATTAGCAGGCATGTAGCGTGTGCCTGTAGTACCAGCTACTGGGAAGGCTGAGGAGGGAGAATCACTTGAACCCAGGAGTTCAAGGCTGAAGTAGGCCATGATCACACCGATGCACACCAGCCTGGGTGATGGCGTGAAACTCTGTCTCAAAAACAAAGCCAGAAAAAAAAAGGTGATGTGGTGCAGGAATCACTTTTCCTTAATAGGAAGTATCATCATATGTGATACTAACAGATATTAACAGATATCTGCTTATTTATTTATTTTGCACAAGGGATTTTCACTTTAAGATTTAATGACTGCCTTATTGGATTTCAGACTTAGATGGGGCCTATGGCCGCTTTGATTTGGCCAATTTCTTCCATTTAGAACAGACGTATTTACCCAATGCCTGTGCCCCTATTGTATCTAGAAAGTAACTAATTTCCTTTTTGATTTTATAGTAGAGCGGTGGAATGGCCTTTTGAAGTTACAATTACGATGCCAACTAGGTGACAATACTTTGCGGGCCTGGGCCAAAGTTCTCCAGAAGGCTGCGTATGCCCGGAATCAGCATCCAATATATGGTACTGTTTCTCCCATAGCCAGGATTCATGGGTCCAGGAATCAAGGGGTGGAAGTGGAAGTCGCACCACTCACCATCACCTCTAGTGACCCACTAGCAAAATTTTTGCTTCCTTTCCCTGTAACATTATGTTCTGCTGGCCTAGAGGTCTTAGTTCCAGAGGGAGGAATGCTGCAAGCAGGAGACACAACAATGGTTCTATTAAACTGGAAGTTAAGATTGCCACCTGGCCACTTTGGGCTCCTCCTTCCTCTAAGTCAACAGGCTAAGATGAGAGTTACAGTGTTGGCTGGGGTGATTGACCCGGACTATCAAGATTAAATCAGCCTACTCCTCCACAAGGGAGGTAAGGAAGAGTATGGTTGGATACAGGAAATCCGTTAGGACATCTCTTAGTATTACCACGCCCTGTGGTTAAGGTCAATGGGAAACTACAACAATCCAGGCAGGACTAAAAATGGCCCAGACTCTTCAGGAATGAAGATTTGGGACACTCCATCAGGTAAAAAACCACCACTTGCTGAGGTGCTTGCTGAAGGCAAAGGGAATACAGAATGGGTAGTAGAAGAAGGCAGTCATCAATATCAGCTATGACCACATGACCAGTTGCAGAAATGAGGACTGTAATTGTCATGAATGCTTCCTCAATATTTTGTTAAGAATATGTTTGTGCATGTATATACTTGTACTAAGAAAATATCTTCATTTTATTGCCTTTCTTTTACCTTCATCATGTGACATAAGATTTATTGACTTCATATGAGCATTTAAGTGTTGTTAACTTTATGTAATAGCATTTAGGTTAAGGATTAGTGCATTTTTGGTTGTACAAAGGATAGCTGTATTATGTTACGCATAAGGATGACCTTATTGTTGCCTTTATTGGAAGATTATGTATGATTTCAGGAGATGTGTATGGGTTCAAGTTGACAAGAGGGGAACTTGTGATGGTTAATATTGAGTGTCAACTTGATTGGATTGAAGGATGCAAAGTATTGTTCCTGGGTCTGTCTGTGAGGGTGTTGCCAAAGGAAATCAACATTTGAGTCAGTGGACTGGGAGAGGCCGACCCAGTCTCAATCTGGGTGGCACTATCTAATCAGCTGTGCATGGCTAGGATAAAAGGAGGCAGAAGTTGGAAGGACTTGACTTTCTGAGTCTTCCGGCCTTCATCTTTCTCCTGTGCTGGGTGCTTCCTGCCTTCAAACATCAGACTCCAAGTTCTTCAGCTTTTGGAGTCTTGGACCTACATTAGCGGTTTGCCAGGAACTCTTGGGCCATTGGCCACAGACTGAAGGCTGCACTGTTGGCTTCCCCACTTTTGAGGTTTTGGACGCGGACTGTTTCCTTGCTCCTCAGCTTGCAGACAGGCTATTGTGGGACTTCACCTGTGACCGTGCGAGTCAACACTCCTTAATAAACTCCACTTCATATATACATGTATCTTATTAGTCCTGTCCATCTAGACAACCCTGACTAATACATTCCTTTCCCGTGTTTTTCCTAATTGGGGTTTTCTTTCTGTAAGAGACTTGCAATGCCTAGAGAAAAGGTCTGAAATGGTATAGCTTTAAATAACTCAGGAAGAGATAAAAGTGCCTCATGTAGTAAAGAAAGAAATCAGGGGGGCGGGGGTGGAAAATGTGCCTTAGATTGAGTCATCAGCTTGATTTATGAAGAGAAAACTCAGAATCATATTTATGAAAAGCTAACCAAGATTACTGCAAATAACTGAAAGGGATATGAAAAAATATGAGCATTAAAAATATGATAACTTCATATTAACCAAATACAATGGTTCCTATAAATAGGACAAAACCAAAAGACAAAGCCAGATGAATTTGCTTTTGTGAAATTGATGCAGCCTATGTTCAGGGCAAGTGGCAATCTCACAAATTTTTACTGTCTAGCTTAAAGTTGATGAATAGCAGAAATCAAATATTAAAATATAGTACATCCATAGTAAAAATCAAATGGCAATGCTGCTGTATTTCTAACAAAGCAAAATATCTTCTAATTCACATGTGAATTACAGGTGACTAGTGGTAAAGAAAGGGGAATTTAGCAAAAAAAAAAAAAAACCCTCAAAACTAAAAACAACAAAAAAGCCTTAATGTCCATTATCTGCACAGGCATTGTTCTCAGTTTATTTGTAACCATTATTTCTATTAAATTATGTAAACATTTGCTGGACAATACAAAGTTTAACTTGAACACAAGCCAAGCATTTAAAATTACTACAATAATATCTTTGGCAAGCTACTTGAGATTGCTCTCTCCACCTCCATTCCTCATTTACTATCCAATATTTTGAAGCCTCTTTCAGAAACAAAAACAGTAAGTATAATTTTAACAGGAAGATTTCCCCCATCAAAGATGGTTTTCTATTAAACATTTAGCATTCACATCTTTGGAAATCAAAGTTCAAGTCTACTGAAAATAGATTTTAGTAAAACAAAGATATGGTGGCAGATTGCTCTTGGGATTCTTGAGGGGGGAACAAAAGCACGTCATAAAACTCAGGGAGAAAAATCAGGATGAATTTCTAGGAGCACATTCAAGAGATTTTAGGCTGGGCATGGTGGCTCACACTCATAATCCCAGCACTTCGGGAGGGCGAGGCAGGCAGATCACCTAAGGTCAGGAGTTCAAGACCAGCCTGGCCAACATGGTGAAACCCTGTCTCTACTAAAAATACAAAAATTAGCTTGGCATGGTGGCAGGCGCCTGTAATCCCAGCTACTCGGGAGGCTGAGGCAGGAGAATCGCTTGAATCCAGGAGGCAGAGGTTGCAGTGAGTTAAAATCGTGCCATTGCACTCCAGCCTGGACAACAAGAGCAAAACTCCATCTCAAAAACAAAAAAACAAAAAAGAAAAAAAAAACATATTTTAGAGTATCCACCACAGCAATAGAATTTTAGAGACTTAAAATTCAAGTTCAGCCCCCTGAGTTCTACCTCCTCAGTTTAACAGGTGTGGCAATGGATGCCCAGCAGAGTTAAATTAATTCCTCAAGGTCATATAAGACAGGTTCAGAGGTGGCCCTGGAACCCCAGTCTGCTGATGGTCCTACCCACTCCTCTGCCACACCATATCTCACTGGGGGCACTTTTTGCAAGCCTGAGTTCAGCAGCCTGTTACACCACATGAGTTACGCATTGCTACAATAAAATGAATGTAATTTATCCAAAACTTCCAGTGCCTTTGGTCAAACCTCAAAGCAATAAAAATCACATTATTCTTCCTTGGCTTTGCCTTTGTGATATTAATAAGAATCACTCTGTGTCTTTTCACCATGAATCTTGGGAGGTAAGTTTTCCTTCTTGTAAGCAGTTCTTCCAGTATGAGAGCTCTGTATCTTTAAGTTGTCAACCCATCCTATCATGCCCTTAGTAGCATTGATACGAACAGGAGGCAAGAAAATACTGGATAGAAGAGGGTGGTTCCCCAGCAAAGGCCCCACTCTCAAGCCTGGAAACCTGCGGCCCTAAATGGGAATAGGCATTTCTGTTTTTGTGCCCAAATGTTACCTTTTCCTAGACCACTCTGGCCCGCCACACCCTTATCCTGTGCCTATATAAACCCTAAACTCCATGAGCAGAGGAACAGAAGAGCATAAGAGTGGCAGAGTGGCAGAGCGGCACAGCGGCGTGGCAGAGAGGGAGCATCTGAATGTCAAGAGGAGTTCAGCTGGGGATGGTCAGAGAGATCAGCTGCGGGATGGCCAAACTCCAGGTAAGTTCATCTTCCCACTCCATTCCCTTTCAAGCTCCCTATCCATCCTGCTGAGAGCCACCTCCACCTCCGTCACTCAATAAAACCCCTACATTCACCGTCCTTCAACTCCGTGTGACCTGATTCTTCCTGCATGCCGGATAAGGAGCCGGGTACCAAGAGGGCAGGGTGTAAAAGGCTGTCAGCCTGACTCTCCACTGAGCTCGTTTAACACTTAGCCATCCACGGACAGCAACTGCTAACACAGCATTAATTATAGCGCGCCCTTAGATGCTACTGTGGGGCCGGAGCCCAGAGCCTTCACCCTGGCTCCTGCACCTGCCCATCTGGGTTCTCCCCCTCCCACTCCTGTCACAAGTCCTGCAAGGGGGTCAGGGAACTCTATTGTTTCAGTATATATATGAGTGCCTATGAAATGCTTGCTTGTATTCCCTAAGAAGTAGTCCTGCCCTAAGTTGAGGTAGAAAGCTGACAGGAGAGTAGAGGTTAAGTGAAACTCTTTGAGTTTAGGATAATTGAACGAGAAAGCAGCCTAATGGATGGTGCCTATTATTTGAAATGTATCCCCGTCTTGTCAGCGACAGATTGATTGTGTGTATCAGCTCTCTTTGCCTCCTTTCTTCCATACGTAAACAAGGAACAGTAATAACTTTTGAGAGCAGAAATCAAAGAGTAAAGGAGAAAGCAGCTCCTTGAATGTGCTTTCCAGTTATCAAAGTTACAGGGTAGCTGGGGTAAAGAGTAAAATTTCTGTATCCATTCCATCTGCAATGAACAGAGAGAAATAACACATAAATGCAGTCTCCTCCCCCTTCTCTTTAATCTCTCTTCTCTAGATCTCTGCAACACCATGTCTTTAAAATCTTGAACTCTTAAACAATATTTCTGTTGATGACATCTCTTCTTCTGCTAGCTTCTTACATGTAGATACTGTTCATTATTCTTTCCTAAGCAGTTGAATTTTATAAAGACCAATATGATTATGTCATTACCATGCTCAAAAATTGTTAAAAGTTCATTCCCTGTGGAAGACAGAGCAAACTTCTCAGCATGGCATGCAAAGCCATGTACCAACTGGCCCCAGCTTCTCTCTCTCTCTGCCACTCCCCTCAATCCACTCAGGAAAATGTACAGTATTTTATAAGTACATTATGCACCTTCATAACACTGTTCTTTCTATGAATTCTTATGGTGGTAGCCCTTTCCTTTTTTTTTTTTTTTTTTTTTTGAGACAGAGTCTCACTCTGTCACCAAGCTGGAGTGCAGTGTCACGATCTCGGCTCACTGCAACCTCCACCTGCTGGGTTCAAGCAATTCTCCTGCCTCAGCCTCCCGAGTACCTGGGACTAAAGGCACATGCCACCATGCCTGGCTAATATTTTGTATTTTTAGTAGAAACGGGGTCTCACTATGCTGGCCAGGACGGTCTCAAACTCCTGACCTCGTGATCTGCTCGCCTCAGCCTCCCAAAGTGCTGGGATTACAGACGTGAGCCACAGTGCCCGGCCCCCTTTCCTAACTTTTTAACATTTAAATTGTGCACTCTTTATGGACCTCTTCCATACCTCCCTAGTTTGTCTATTTTTAATTTCTATTTTCATGACCACTATTATGCCTCTTGTATCATTTCGAAGCCTACCATGTATACATTGTGTGCTTTTCCCTTCCCACATATTTTCTTTTAGCTCCTGAATCTTTTTTACTTTATGCCTTGCCAGTACCATCGGCAATGCTTGTCATAAACAGCACATACACTATGGCAACTGAAGAAGTGTGTGTGTCACATTCAATTGAGACGTAAACAGGTCAATGCCTCACTTGACTTTGCAATCATAGGACTTCATACTAAGAGGAAATTAGAGATTTTTTTTTTTTTTCAGAAATGAAGAAACATACTCAGTGAGTGCCTCCTTAGGAAAATAGGCACCAGTTATTTCAAGAAGGAAGCCATTCAGTGCAAAAAAAAAAAAAATTAGCAGCTCTTAAAACCATTTAGAGGCCGAGAGACCAAGGTCAGAAAAAATTGCTACTGATGTTCAAGAAATTCAGGAATTGCAAGAGACAACAGCCAGTGGGTGACCTTAGCTATCTGCTGCCCTACGTGGGTGATTCACAGAAAGACACTCAGAATTGCTGGAAAAATCTCATTGCTTCCAAACCCAAAGCCCACACTCCTGCCTGCATCTGCCACTAGGCCACATGGTTTCAGTTTGTCTTTTACCTCCCAAATCTAATGCAAATGTCCCCAGCTGATGCCCCTAAGTGGTGGTGGAAGTTTTGAGAATTGGAGTTACCAGGATTGTAGGACCTATTAAGAGGAGCCATAGGAAAGGAAAAAGATTTCTAAATATTTAGTGACTAACTGGGCACACAAAGGCCGAGAGATCTCTCTAAGTCAGGACTATTTTTCTGAGTTGTAGAATTTCAATACAGACATACATGATTAAGTGAATTATATATTAGATTCATAAAGCAAGTAACTGTCATACCTTTAACCCAGTTAAGCTAACTGGGTTGACTAGAATGTCATCGTCTAGTTATTTAGCTGAAGGGGACCCAATTAAAGACTCAAACATAATTATGTGTTTCTTAAAATATTTATTGTTGGAAATTCTAAGTATTTGTGACACCGTTTCAAAAATAAGGGAGAGGGCTGGGCACAGTGGCTCACGCCTGTAATCTCAGCACTTTGGGAGGCCGAGCTGGGTGGATCAGCTGAGGTCAGGAGTTCGAGACCAGCCTGGCTAACATAGAGAAACCCCATCTCTACTAAAAATACAAAAATTAGCTGGATGTGGTGGCAGGGGCCTATAATCCCAGCTACTCAGGAAGCTGAGGCAGGATAATCACTTGAACCCAGGAAGCGAAGGTTGCAGTGAGCCAAGATCACACAACTTCACTCCAGCCTGGGTGACAGAGTGAGAATCCATCTCAAATAAATAAATAAATAAGGGAGGGGAAAGATTAATTAATATGGAGAAGAAAAACCTAAAAAAAATTATTACATCATATGAAATAAAAATTATTTCTACCATAACAGTGATTTCTGAAATTAATAGGCTGAAAAAGTTGCTATGTCAATATTAAAAATTAGTTCTTCCCTGCAGAAAAAATACAGCCTCTGACATGAGCCGAGATCACACTACTGCACTCCAGCCTGGTGACAGAGCGAGACTCCATCTCAAAAAAATAAAATAAAATAAAATAAAATAAAATAAAATAAAATAAAAATAGAGCCTCTGACATGAGTTCCACCAGAAAACTACCAATAGCCTATAAATGATTACAAGAAAAATCAACGTTTCCCATTCTTCTTTCTTCCAAGTAGCCACATTACATTTATTTTTAAGAAATACAACTTCTAGAACATTACGATTCTGTCCACTTTAATCCATATCTTTACCCTGCCTTTTTGCTTCTCTGTTCTTCAATATTTGCATGTCAGCCTGTCTTAGGCACAAATAAAACCTGAATTATGAGCATAACATGAAATCCACAGCTGTGAAGTTAGATATGAGTAATATTTGAAGCAAATATATTGTCAACAGATATGATGGCGCATTTTTAGGAAAACTGACCTCTTGCCAACTCGAATGGCAACAGTCAGGACACAGACGAGAGAAGAAGCAAGAAAATATACATAGTGTTTATAAGTCTGTAAAGCATTTTGAGATATTTTGGCCATATCACTAATAGCTGTGTGGCACTTGACAAATTGTATAATCTCTCTGTGCCTCCATATTGTTTCTTTATTTTTAACCCATATCAGTGATGTGAAAGCTATGTGTCTGTAGGGATAAGAAGATAATTGCTTTTCTTCATCCGTCCCAAGGGTTATGGCTGATATTCCTAGAACAAAAGATAGGTTTGCAAAAGACAGTCATAACAAATTTCTTTAATAAAGTTTTATTTAGCATGGGAGCCTTTAGAAATGAAGGCCCAAAGACCGAGGGAAAACTGTGTATTTTTATGCTAAGTCTGATATAAAGAAGCTGATAATTGTGCAGAAATGTGCTTGGACAAAAAGAGTATGATCTAATGGTGAAAAAACTGAGTGGGGGAACACAGCAAGACCTTGGTCTCTTTCTTCTCCTGGGTATATGGAGCAGGCCCCCTCTGGAATGAGGCACTCATAACTTACTTTCAGACACAGTAGGTCAGAGAGTGACCTTTCTTGATTTTATGGCTTGCTTTTTGAAGAGGAGTTCTAGTTTCTATGACCTCTCTTGGGGGAGAAATGGAGAGAGGAGAGAGAAGAATGGAAGAAGGTCACAGAGAACTTCATACTTCTGAGGCTTTTCCAATCTCCGGTTCGAAGTATTCAGCCTGCCAAGCACGCTACTTTAGGGCATCGTGTTCTGAGCCTAGACAATCCCTACAGCCCATTCAGGCACCTCTCTGTTCAGGACCATCTAAACCAGTGAGGCTTGCCACCCCCATTCCACTTCAACTTGAGTAATTGTTGTATCTTGGAAATCTGCATCATATTTTATTTGAACCAAGGATTACTAAGTCTAATAATCATTTGAGATCTAGGGATCTAGATCAACCATAAAAGTTATAAAAGTAATGCCCTATGAATGTGACGTTTTCTTTTCTTCAGGTAGTTTTAGATGAAGACACTCAAGGGATATAAATATCTCCATATTCTGAAAAGTATTCAAGAAGAAATGCTTCATCATGGCTTGCGGGCTGTAATTCTTAGTCCCATCTTCATTCTAAGTTTCTCTCTGGAGGATTTAATTCAGCCTCACTAACAATCAAAGAAAATAATTAATATTCATGTAAAACACCATTGTTTCCTTCTATCAGATCATAAAATGTTATAAAGAGTAGTTGTTTTAAGATTGTATACATGCAGCAACTTCTTATCCTTCCAAAGAAGTTAGGACAGATTTGTGAGAAAGAAAGCAAATTGGAAATAAACATCAAAAGCTAAGAGTTTCTGTTCTTTGATATGGTAATTTTACTTCTACAAATCAGGCCTAAAATAATCCAATTACTAAAATTATTATCTATTTGGATTTGAATATGATGAAAAAATTAAAATTATTTGTCTAACTACATAATCTTTTCTGTAGTATTTTTGCAGAAAGTATTTCAAAACCAACATCAATAAGGGGTGAGTATATTAATGGCACTGTAGACATGCATATATTGATATATGATATAGGCATTAAAAACAGGTTTTTAAGATTGTTAATAACATAGGAGACACTTTTGTGATAAAACATTAAATATAAGAATACACAGAAAAAGTTTAATAGAAATGCTACAAAATATTGAGTGGCTAAGAGCAGTGTATGTATGTAATATTTTTATATTTTAGATATGTTCTGCATTTTTCCAAAGAATAAATATTATATGCATTATTAACAAAAGAATATTATATCAAAAGTTGACCAATTTTATATTTAGTGAAGAAGGAAAAAATTTTCTTATTATATATTTGTAAATGATTGTACATAAAGATATACTGAGACTGCATCCACTCCTACAATTCAAAGTGAAGAGTGTTGCCAATATTCTTTATGTTATCTTCATTATCAGTATGATGCAAATCACTCTTACTTTCAGCAATTTGTTACTTCACGTTAAAGTTGATGTTTCACCTCACATTAACTAACGAATCCAGATTTAGTTTCCCAATAGCTAGGTCTAATGAGGATCAAGTATTTGCCAAACTGTTGTCAAAGACCAAAAAAATAAATAAATAAATACAAAGGCCAGACACTGGTTAAAGTGGTAAAGATAAATTTTAATCAGTTATAATGATCACAATAGGGGAAAAAGTCCAGCATGAACTGAATTCAACTTCAATTTGGACAGAGGTTGCTGAGTGTTTTAAAGAAGAATGAGGAAGTCTGTGGAGGAGGCTGGGTGGGGAAGGCTCAGCAGAATCAGGAAAGTAAAAAATTGTAGTGGGTTAATCAGTGTAAATGCGATTAGGCCTGCTGTATCTGCTAACAGACAATTATCAAAGTTATTGATAATAAAAGTGGACCCTATTCTAATATGAATATGATCATATGAAGATACATAGTTAGGATTCTATCATCCTACAGCAACTGGAGACAAAGCCTGCTCCTTACCGATGGCTGCACTTCCAAGGGATGGCTTTCAGGTCCTCTGAGGAAGACCTCCTGAGTTTGGGAAGATACAGATACATCTCAAAGGGGCAAGGGAGGAATTCATAGTTGTAAGCCCTTTTTAGTAAATGCTGTAAGAAAGAGTGGCTAGGGATCTATGATCAGGTGTTGACTAGAACCAACAATACATTCTTTTGGCAGCCTTGAGTTTTCTTAGACAAGAAATTTAAGAGGACCAGGACATTTCTAGGAATATGGCCTTGAGATATTAGAAACTATTGATGTGGCTACATTGTCTGGGATATAAACCCTGAGGTTTGCTGTTGTGCATGAGGAAAATTTAGGACACAGACACACAAGAGGAGTTTAGGAGCAGAGGTTTAATAGGTAGAAGACAAGAGACAGAGAAACAGCTTTTTCCATAGAGGAAGGAGTCTGCAAGCAGAAAGGACCAGCTGGTGGCGAATGCATCCAATTTTATACTCCGGTTTGAGGAGGTGGTGTCTGATTTGCATAGGGCTCATAGATTGGTTTGATCAGATATGACATTTACATAGTGCGTGGGGAAGGCTGATCACTACCCTAATCTTCTCATGCAAATGGACTTTCCAGTTCCATGCCATCTTGTCTGCTCCTTACAGTACACATGGCTGGCAGAAAGGGTGGAGCTGCCATCTTGAAAATGTCTAACCCTTAGTTCCTGCCAGCATTCACCAGTGCAAGCTCCCAGCTTGCTTGTCTATGTCTGTAGCTCAACTTAACAGGCTGCTCTTTATTAGAAAATGATTTGGGGCTGCTTTTCATTAAAAAGAAAAGCCTTACCAAGGACTCCCACACCCTTGCTATCTGCCTAAGTGATTTCTTCTAAATCCCTATATCACTATTTTAATGTTTGTTTAAGTTTATAGGCCAAGATTGAGGGCCAGTGAAGAAGACAGAGCTCAGAGGAGCCTGGGTAGAGTTTAGTCAATGGCAGAATTTTTGTCAGTATTAACATCTTCAAAGTGGAATCTGGTGACCTCAAGTTCAACTACACAAGAAAGAAGAAAGTACTTGCAATTTAGAAAGTTTATCTGTTTACCTTGCCCTCATATCTAGCAGCACTTTTCTTTTTCAGCTCCCAACGAACTTGAATATGTGCTAATTGATTAATTTTTAGAACTTGAATATGATCCCTTTAAGTAAGTTATTGTTACTCTATGTTTTTACTAGAGAAGCCCAGATGAAGTCCTTAAAGCAATCAATAATACATATGAAGTACATCTTTAAAGTATAACAATGTGAGGGCAATATTATAAGTCAGTTTTAGGAAAATGTCAAAACTTTAACTCACATTTCTCTGCATAATTCATCTATTGTATTCAATTCAACAATAATTTATTGAAGGTCTGCTTATAACAGGCAATGTGCTTCCTAACTCATTCACTGCTCATCTAGACAAGCTCTTTCTTGTGACTAAGATATTGACTGAAAATGAATGTTTCAGAGGAAAATCTTTCAGGAGTCTTTTACAAATAAAATTCGTAGTGGGAATAGACTTCGTCCTGCTCTTTTGTGTGAATATTCACATACTAAGCTAGGGTGCCAAAGCTGTATTAAAAAAAAAAAAGTCAGAGGTGGACCAAGCTAGGATAAAAGCACGCCTACCTCAACAACTCTCTACAAGTATGACATTCTCAAAGGAAACATACTATTGTGTTTAACTGCAAGGTATTTGCGGTCAGGAAAACCAAGGTTTGATTCTCAGTTGTTCTCTAGACGTGTGGCCATGGTTGGACAAGTTACTGGGATTCTCTGGAACTCCATTCTATCTGTAAATTCAGGATAATAACTTCTTTTTTAAAAAAAACTTTTTTGTTTTGAGACAGGGTCTTGCTCTGTTGCCCAGGCTGGAGTGCAATGGCACAATCTTGGCTCACTGCAACCTCCGCCTCCTGGGCTCAAACGATCCTCCTGTCTCAGCCTCCCAAGTAGCTAGGACTACAGGCATGTGCCACCATTTTCGTATTTTTTGTAGAAACAGAGTTTTGCCTTGTGACCCAGGCTGTTCTCCAACTCCTGGACTCAATCAATCTGCCCACCTCAGCCTCCCAAAGTAGTGGGATTACAGGCGTAAGCCACTGCATCCAGCCAAGGATAACGACCTCTACCACATAGGATGTTGCACTGAAGTTAGGTGAGCTAATGTAGGTACAATTCCTGATATATAATAATTTCTCAGTAAAGACTCTTTTTCTCTTACTAATAGGTTTCTGTGCAAGCCATGAATTAGAAGCACATTATAAGGTAGAACTGATAGAACTGAACAATTCATATAAATATGTGAAATCAGAGTAATGCACTAAGTGTTAAAGTGGAAAATAAAACATGACAGAATCACAAGTTAGTTTAAATATTCCTCTACCTGAAGAAACCCCAGAAAGATCACAATGAAGGTAATACAATTAGCCCTCCACATCCATGGGGCTCTGTGATTCTGCAACCAACTTGGGATTAAAAATATTCAAAAAAAAAGAAAACAATAAAAAAAACACAAAAAATACAGTATAACAACTATTTACTTAGCATTTATGTTGTATTAGGTGTTATAATTAATCTATAGAAGATTTAAAGTATACAGGAAGGTGTGCGTAGGTTATATGCAAATACTAGCCCATTTTATATCTAGGACTTGAGCATCTAAAGATGTGGGTATCTGTGGGGGTCCTGGAGCCAATCTCCTATGGCTACTGAGGGAAGATTGTACTTGAGTTCAGCCTCAAGCAGTAGATATAAGGTTCCTAGGTAAATTAGAAGAAAAGCTTAAATGTAAGGATCATCACATCCAAAGGCAGGGGGCTAAAAGGGCATTCAGTGTGGTTGGGGCAGAGTTGGTTGAGGATGGAGTGTGTTGGGGAGATTGAAGCTTAGTTGGGGTACATTTGGCAAATACTAATATGGAATTGTGAAGTTATCCTTTGGATAGCATGTACCCAAATGAAGGATTACTATATGCACATTTGTTTTTTAGGATGCTGGCTCTGGCATTTCTCTGAAAGAAGACAAATCCTTCTTTTTTATCTCAAGAGCCATACATATTGAATAAGTTTATCAATTACATAAACACAGAGTTTTTTTTCAAATTTTATACATTAGCAATGAAAAAGGAGACTCTTTTAAATGATATATTTGAGGTTAAAAAAACCCAGCCTTCACCTGGGGCCTACAGAAAGTGCAAGCTCTGTCTCACATGTTTCATCATGTAATGCACAGTTCTGCAGCTGAGGATTTCTGCCACATATACATTTGTGTCTGTAAAGAAAGAAGCAACACACACAAAAGTCGTGCTCAATGCTGAGAGAATCTATCCCCTGGTAGGGAGGCGAGCAACTGTGCCATTGATACACAGAGGGTTTCAATTGGAGAAGAGCCTTCTACTTTTGCTTGAGTTCTAAAGCAGCTGTATTGGACATTTGGATACTATCTGAGGAGCACACCTCCATTTCAATTGTCCTTTTATGATTCACCAAATAAGCTGGTGAGCATATTGCAGTACTGCCCTGTGTTTCGTTGTTATCAAGTTTATTTTTCTCACATAAATGTAGGGATCTTTTCTACCTTTCAGAGCTCTTAAATCTATTAGGATAAATTGCCTTTTTTTTTTTTGAAATGAAAGGCCTCACATATTTATTACTGAACCCAGCCAACCAACGTGTTCATAACAGGTTCAGAGAGGAAAACATGTCAAACTCTCCAGATAGTGGTGATATTTTCAGCTTGATATGGTAACATGATCATGACCTTCAGACACCATAAGTATGTGTGTCATCTCATGTTCAATTCCTTATAGACCCAGCTTGGTTCTTCTCCAATGTCTCCTTTTGGAGTTGTACCTGATTTTATTTCTAGTTTTCATCTGAATCCACTGGGGAATGGGATGATTTTGCTTTTGTTTCTTGGCCAGGAATCGCTTAATCCTGAAGGTCTTGTGAGAAGACATGGCGAGAAGTGGAGTCAAGAACACACCACGGTGGCAGAGAAAGGAAAAGAGCAGGATAAATAGCTTTGTAAACCTACTACACAGAGAAGGTTGCCTTGATGATTCTCATCAAAGCTATTAGAAAATTTATTTTAAACATAAAAATTGTCAGAAGATACTGTTCCACACACTGCAGGTCTAATAGTCACTACCCAAATGTAAGATAATTAAAAGGAATGATTTGTTGCATTCTATTTAACAATATAAGTTACCAGTGAGAACTAGTGACAAGATGATAGCCTCGCCATGTCCAGATTCAAACTCCTGGCATATCTGCCACTCACAGGAAATGCAACTTTACTCCTGTTGCTTTTACTTCTGCTAATGAGACCATTATCCTCCTAGATATCTGACTTTTCAACCTCAAAAGTGTGTTTAAATTCCTCTCTCTTTTTTCCCTTCAAAATCTCATTAGTCATGATGAGTTGTAGACTTACTACTTCTAAAATATCTCTGATATTTTAGATATCTCTGATATCCCTTCTGTTTTATTCTCACTGCCACTTCATTCGTTTAAATCCTATTACCTTATCTGGACTATTCCTGTAACTTCTAAATTGGCCTATTTGCTTCCAGGCTGTCTCTGCCCAAGCCAAACCACATACCGTTGCCATAGGAACCTTCCTAAGGAACAGCTCTAATCACTTTATTCTCTGATCAAACGCTTTCAGTGGGCTCTGCTTTGCCTACAGGATAGCTCAGCATAACATACCAGATTATCCAAAAATTGTTTTCAAACTCTTCCACTAAACCTTCCTATTCACCATCACCTGTCATCACCTGGAACTTGCCATTGGTCTAACAATCATAGCCAGCATCTTGAGATTTTTTGTTTTCCATGACGCATATCCATAGGTAACAATAATGATTCCCTCTTAAATTGCCATAGGATTTGCTTCTGAATATTGCTGCACTTTATGTGTTCTAGCTTGCATTACAAACACACACACACACATACACATATAATATAGCATATATGCATACACACACACACATATATATATTTATGTAAATTTCTGTTATGTTCTTCATCATTAGCTTTCAAAGTTTTGTTCAAGGGAACCCTAGGATCTAGTCAGATGCAAGAAGGATTACTATAAGAGCACACAGAGGCCTGGAGAGGACCGATGATAGCATGGCTCTTAACCTCCCATAATCTCCCTCCACCAAAATAGCTCTTATTTTATTATTATTATTATTTTTAAATAAAGTATCATCTGGAATTCAATTTTATTTTTAATGGCTTTTTAAAATTTGTGGATGTTGTCTTCCAAGTTTAAGAGGTTTCCTACACGCACCTTCTAGATACCCATACTGACTAGAGATCCGAAACAGAATATCTCAGGATACTCCAAAATCGAATTTCACCATGAAAGAACTATCTTCCCCAATATCTTCAGATCAAGCATCCAAGTAGACATGGTGGCCTCTTCCCAAGACTTTTTGATCATGGCACCCATACTACAAGCCTCTGATTATGACAGCCATTTTTGTCTTTTTCTCTTCTTTACATTGTCATCTCTTCCCCTCTCTCTTCCTCTAAAATTTTCCATTGCTAAAATGATGTTTTAAAGTTTCTTCTCCCAATCTCTGTTCTCTAAGCAGATCAAGACAGTGAACACAACTCTATGGATTTCAAGCCAGCCTTATCAATAAACTCCAGAAGGGATAGGATTTATTCTCCTAGATGATCCCAGATGGGGCAGGATTTTGTCTAAGAAGCATCATTCCAAATCTTCTGATAATTCTTATGTTAATGAAACTGCCTTCGCAAAATTATGACTGAGACAGTGAAAGAGATTTAACTTGATCGACACTATCTTGCTTCTAACTTACAAGCTGTTCTTGTTTATTCCTCTGCGTAGGCTGAACTAACTTTGGGAGAAACTCAGTTTATAGTTTAAAGTTTAAAACAAAGATGATAACAGCCCTTTCCCAAAGCAGGCCTTTTTCTTGCCTGGGGACTAGGTTGCCTTTGCAGGACTAATATTAGCCAAAAGATTAGAAATTATGGTTTAGGAGTCATGCAGCTGGAGGCTACAAGATTCTGACCCTCTCTAAACTACTCCTAAGGTGAGTGCTTGAGATAGTTTGAAGATCCTGCACTTGATGGATCAGCTGGCACCACCCAGTTGGATTAACTGGCTCGTCTGATCTTGCGGCCCCTACCCAGGAACTGACTCAGCACAAGAAGACAGCTTTGACTCTCTATGATTTTGTCTCTGACCAATCAGTGCTCCTGGCTCACTGGCCTCCCCCAACCCATCAAGTTGTCCTTGAAAACTTTGTTCCCCAAATGCTTGGGGAGACTGATTTGAGTAATAATAAAACTCTGTTCTCCTGCACAGCCAGATCTATGTGAATTACTCTTTCTCTACTGCAATTCCCCTGTCTTGAGAAATTGGCTCTGTCTAGGCAGCAGGCAAGATGAACCCACTGGGTGGTTACATTAACTCTTGTTTTTTCCATAGTTGACTGTACTTTCTCTGGATTCATAAATGCTTCAGAACAACTACTAACTCAACAAATGATTGAAGTTTAACTACAAAGACAAAAGTCACAAGAAGTCCT
The DNA here is from genome assembly GCF_000001405.40 of Homo sapiens. Classification (NCBI taxonomy): domain Eukaryota; kingdom Metazoa; phylum Chordata; class Mammalia; order Primates; family Hominidae; genus Homo; species Homo sapiens. The sequence continues at coordinate 239,055,514 of NC_000001.11, forward strand.
GATGGAAGTGCTCAGAAAACAATACCCCACAGTATGGAGCTTTGGCACTTTGAACTAAAGAAAATTAAAGGCCTTAGAAGCAGCTTTAGAACCAGGACTTTCTGACCTGTTTCTCCCCACAAGCATAGGGTGGAACTCTCTCTCTCTCATTGAAGTTTTCATATCTGAAGCTCCTCCATTAGGAACATTGCCTTTACTTCCCTCCCTGAAATTTCATTAGCCAGAGAAGATTGAACTTACATCACAGGAAGACAGAGGAATGTCACCACGCCTAGATAGACTTTGTCACAAGCTATTGTCTGTTCCTTGGGCCCATTCAACTCTCCTAAAAATCATTTCCTACACTTCAAAATTGCCTCATGTCCCCCTTCCCTGAGGAAGAAAGTTGTATAAGAATCTGAAGTTCATTGGATTATTAGGTAATCATTCCCTGTGATTCCCCCATACAGGTAATAAACTTGCCTTTTTCTTTTATTAATCTATTGTCAGTTTATTTCAGCAGACTCAAACCTTCATACGGAGATGGAAAATTCCCTTTGCTCCAGTGGTAGCCATGCCCAATGAGTCTGAGACTTTAGCAGATGAAAGTGATATAGCTATCTTAGAGGACAGAACAAAGCAACAATTTCTCTGTTGACTAAGCGGAAAGCACGTAGGAGATATTGAAACGCTAAACATTTCTACTGTAGTCCTAGCATTATGTTGACCCCCTGCGATGGTTTCCTTACCACCCTTTTGTGTAAAGGATCTTAGCCCCTGCAGCAGCTCCTCCTCGCCCTTTGTACTAAACCCAAACAGCTCAAACCAACAGTTGCTAAACTATAAGAGTAATTTCTCCCTGTTTCAAGAACCATTTTGAGCAACTGTTCCTGAAATTAGCTGAACTTCAGCTTATCTCTCTGGCTAAGGTTCTGTAAAAACTCCCCCTTTTCTTCCCAAGGTAGACACTGCTTTAGGGATCTTCTCATGCTACAGCATTCCAAATAAAAGCCTGGGTTTAATGTGCCTGGTTGATTTTCTTACATGTTATCTTTTTCAAATCACATAGAAAGTTACTGGCCGAGGGCCACATGTGGTGGCTGATACCTATAATCCCAGCACTTTGGGAGGCTGAGGTGGGTGGATCGCCTGAGCTCAGGAGTTCAAGACCATAGAAGCCTGGGCAGCATGGCAAAACCCCGTTTCTACCAAAAATACGAAAAAGTAGCCAGGCATAATGGCACACATGTGTGGTCCCGCTGCTTGGGAGGCCGAGGTGGGAGGATCGCTTGAGCTCGGAAGGCAGAGATTGCAGTGAGCTGAAATCCCACCACTGCACTCCAGCATGGGTGACAAAGCAAGACTCTGTCTCACCAAAAAAAAAAAAAAAAAGAAGGAACTGGCAGAGTCCCAACTGACAGGTATATTTTCTGTTGACCAAAATACGGTTCTTACTGATATTTGATACTGACTCATAGTCACAACTGCCATATGAAAAGAGAGAGATCATTTTTTTTTCCTGGCAATATGTGATGGTGGAAGATACTTAGTGTGGTGTCCTGATAAGATAAGTAAGCAACAATGAGGAGGGAACCCCAGGGAGGGAGGACCATTGTTCCGAGAGAACAGCTAATCACAGACAACCTGTTGGCAGGACATCCTGTTCCCAAATGCCTTGCTTGGCAAGTAGGCCCAGCAGCAGGACCTCATTGTGCAGGTGGCCCCCTCCAGCATGATCCTATAAAACTTCCCTCCAGCCCCCGCCTCTTGGCGGACAGACTTCTCTCTGCTGCACTGCCCATTGCTTTCTTGCAATCTTTGTACTTTCCCTAATAAATCTGCCTTTCCTTACCCATGACTGTCTGTCTTGGTAAATTCTTTTACCTCCCACGACACCAGCCACAGCCAGTTGCACTCACAGCACTTAGGAAAATAAAAAAAATCAAGGCTGACACTCTGGATACCAATATGTAATGAAGTGTTCTTCTTACAAGAGCTTATGAGATAAATAGAAACGTAACAACAATTTTTATTAAGCAAGATATAAAAACTTCACCATAGGCTGATCCTGTTTTCATTCATGGAAGATAAATACTATCCCTCACTTAAGAGCTTTTTGTGTAGGAATTCTTCTTCCTTATTTTTTCACGAATAAAGATAGGGATGTCCTTAGCATCCAAAATCAGTCAAAAAAAAATTGACATTTCATGTCCTGGTTAGACTACTCTGGCAGCTTGCTGGAATGGTCACTTGCTTCTCCCAACTGGATCTCAAGTCCAGACCCCTTTGTTGTCGGCCCCCCTCCTGGCCACCCCCACCACAATCACTTAATAAGAAATACCAGCTGTAGAGCTCAGAACTGCTATGACAATTAAAGCTTCCCACCTTCATGAAAACTGTTGAAAATGGGGCAGAACAAAAAGTAGTGTGACAGAATTTCTCTATACTGTCTGATGCATTGCTTCCAATGTAGGGAGACCTTTAATTGGTTCTCTGGCTTTTGGTTCCATCCTATTGTAAACAAAGAATCAAAGTATAGTAAGGTTCAAAGAAGTAGGGAGTGCTGAATTTGGCAGATGGCACAAGACATGGTTAGAAAGAAAGCATCCTCAGAGGAGATGAGAATGATGCTGAGCCTTGGCAAATTGCAAGGAATGCGTAGTTAAGCAGAGCAACTTTTCACAGTCAGATTTAGAGTATAACTAACTCTGGAATGACGAGACACACAAAAAGATAAATGCTATTTATCACCACTGCTCACAATGAGGAATCAGTAAGCAGCCATAACAGATGCTGCGCTGCCCAGATCCCCTCCTTAGGACTGAGGTGCTCACTTGCCAGCTGCAAAGACTCGTGCCTGAGTCTCTCTCCAGGCAATGTTCTCAGGTCAAAAGGCAGCTGCCCTGCTGGAGGTTATAGCTCCATCCAGCGGCATGCAGAATCCATTGATTAGCAGATGTGGGCATATGAAGACAATGTCTTGGCTCAAATTAGAACGGTTCTAAAATTGCTGCGACCCTGGCTAGAATTACATTGCAGGTGAGCTTCTTCCTCCATCCAGTCCTGTTTCTCTCACTCCATTACAGTTGTGATTCCCAAGAGCACTTCACAATAAACCTCCAGCACACAGTCTCCTTCTCTGAGTCTCTTTCTAGGAAAGCCTGACCTAAGACAACAGCCTCCCTATGGCAAAAATGTCCAAATTAATAGCTTCTTTATATAGGGGGCAAAACCACCAGCAACCAAAACTTTTATTTAAAAAAATGACAATTGTATGACTAATCAGCGTACATTTAACTTCAGGATTGAAAATGTTGCATCCTGAGCTTAATTTCCTTGATTTTACTTTGAACACTCTTTGAGTTGTGTTTCTATTTTTAGACCACAGAATTTAAGATAAATGTGCATAATTTAGAGAGGTTTCAAAGAAAGGCAAGTCAAGTGATTAAATAATGAGAATAAAATTAGTATAAAAAGTGCCAGGAACATTTGGTCTTTTGAAAGGAAGGGCAAGGGGGCCATTTTAATAACAGCCTTCACATACATGCCTACTTATTCAGATAGACGGTTGTGAGGTCAAGCTGGAGGGGCAGATAGGGATCCGATCACTATAGACCCAGATTCCTGCGGTAGCTTCCTACATTATCTCCCAGCTTTCACCCTCCTGGCAACATCCAGAGTGATCCTTGAGAAACCATAACAAATCACATCGCTCTTCACCTCCAATCCACCTCTTCACTCTCCATCAGTCCTTCTTATGAACTACACACACTCTGTGATCAAGCCCTGGCTGCCTCTAGGGATTGTCTCCTCCCATTCACCACTACAAAACTTCTTCCTCGAAGGTGTCCAGCAGGCCAAGCCACGCTGGACTCAGGGATCTCCCCACGGCTGTGTTCTTCCCATAGTACCACAAACCCTCCACTCCATTCACTTATCTGCTCAATGGCACCTCCTGTGAAAGGATTTAAAGTAGCCCTCCTCGTGATGTTTTATTCCCTTACTTTGCTTTACAAGCCATCAGAGCATTTATTACTTCTTGATATTCTAATTCTAATATGCTAACGTTATATTTTCTATATATACCATTAAATATGGAGAGAATGGATAGATATAGATTTAGATAGCTGATACAGGTAAATATAGACAGAGGTAAAAATATAGATAGAGACTCTTTCATTTAGTCCTACGTGCCCATCAAAATGTAAGCTCCGTAAGGGTAGGATCTTTGTCTCTTAGTTAACTCCTCTATGGTGGAGGAGATGTGAGACAACCAGAAATTTCTGTCTAAAAAAAAAAATCACACACTCGATCACACACTCGATAGGTGTTCAATCAATATTTGGTGACTGAATGAATGGATGAATGTGATCCCTTTAAATCTGTATCCTCACTATACAAACTTCCTTAAATATCTATTAGGTAATTTAGCTAAACTTTTCTTACTCGCTCCAGTGTGGTGTGTGTTTGTCTTTTCTTCCTCCTTGACCTATAACTATTGACAGTTATACAATATGGTGGTTCCACAGCCACCAGCCTCCTTTTCCTATTCTCTAGAAAGAACGAGGATGAGCTATAAAATTCATCTAACCCTATCATCTTTTTAAGGGGTATAATATTAAGTGGAAATTCTTTACAAATTTAAAGTTATATTCAATTTGTAAATAAGAATAATTATTATTGCCTGTAACTTTTGAACTTGGCCCATCTCGTTTCTGCCTTCTTGAAATTCGGTATTTTTTATTAGAGCTTTCAGAGTCAGCTTTTGATTTTATTGATCTTTTTTGTTTTGTTTTTATTTATGTTCTTGTCTTTTTAACTTACATTGTGTGTGTATTCTTATTTATGTTCTTGTCTTTTTAACTTAGATTTTTGTATGTATTCTTTTCTTTATTTCTACCTCCTACAATGGAATACCCAGTTATTTTTTATATATATGATATATATATGGCATATATATGACATATATGTATGTCTTTCTTACTTATATTTTTAAGTCTTTACTTCTAACTTCTAGAATGGAATATATATAAACCAAATATTTGAAGCAGCCTGTGTATTATGGATAAATATTTCTCTTGGATAGACACCAGTAAGTTTTATATATATATATATATATATATATATATATATATATATATATATATATACACACACACACTCACACACACACACACACGATTAAAATTCTCTTGTTTTTAATACATGTGGGTATGACTATGCATTCTTCTGTAAATACTACTTTATCTCATAAATGTTAATGAATAAGAAGTTTATTGTTTTGGCTTTAAGTTCATTTTGATATCCACTCTAATTCATTAATTCTTCAGTCACATATTGTTTTAAAATACATAAGGTGTTATTGTTTTTAATTTTGGTATGTATTTTAATCGTGGTGAGAGACTATTATCTGCGTTATATCATGTATTTGACATTAGCTGAGACTTCCTCAGTGACCATCAATATAATCAATTTTGAAAATGTCCAAAAAAAAAAAAAGGGGGGGTTCCCTCTCTTGGCTTTGGAGCCCCCCTCCCTCTGTCTCTGTTCAGGGGGGAGCGTCTTCCTTCTTTCTTCCCCCTTCTACCTTGCCCATTAAACTCTCTGCTCCTTAAAACCAAAAAAAAAAAAAAAAAAAGGAAATAAAATGTCTTCTGGTTTCTTGAAAAGAAAATATCTGCATTTACATTGTGCAGTGTTCTGTGTATTTTTAAGTTTTTTAATTATATTGTTCAATTCTATTACACACTTAATATTTTGTATTTGCTTGATCAGTTTCCAGTAGACTAATATTAAAATCAATATTATAATAGTAAGTACATCCTCAAGATCCTAAAGGATTATTTATTTTTAAAAATGTTTTATTTAGATAGTCCTTACTATGTTCCAGACATTCTTAGCACTTTGCACATATTAACTCACACAACGTCACAATTGTTGCATTTTCTTGGAGGATTTTTCCAATTGTTATTAAATACTTTCCCTATCACTTTGGATTAAAATTGTTGGAGTTTTTAAATAAGAGGCTTATAACATATAATTATTGTCTTAGCCATGATGCCTTTTTACAGGTAGTTTTTAGCAGTAGTAGTTTTAGTGTGAAAGTCTGGATATTTCAGTCTCTTTTACCTTGCCCTCATTCTTTTTTTTCCCCCTCATTCTTAAAGCATATTTTACCAGTGCATAGATTTCTAAATTAGATATCTATTGTCTTTTGACGTCAAATCTACTATTACTGTCATTGCTGTGGCTTTGCAGACAACCTTTTTTTAGGTAGTTTTTAAGAAACTTTTTTCTTTATCCTTGATACTGTGAGATTTCACTGCATTGTGTCTAGGCGTGGGTTTATTTTAGTTACCTTGCACGATGCTTGTATTAGTGAGCTATTGTTATGTAAAAACTCAAACTCCAAACTCAACAGTTTAAAACACCGTCGTTCATTCATTCATGCGCATACATTCACAGGAAGTTTGGGGATCATCTGACCCAGTCAGGATTTGGCAAGGCATACCACGAAGCTGTAGCTTGGGGTCAGGAGTAACATTTCACATCTTTCCACCTATGGACAAACCCAGACACATGGCCAATGCCAAAGTCCAGAGGTAGGAAAGTACACTCTCCCTCTAAGCAGAGAAACTACAAAGTCTGACAATAGGCAGGTTACAATACGGGGGGCAAGAATTCATTCTGCCATACTCTTTGATTTCAGTCTGAAAACATATATATCTACTCATTATCAAAAAACATTTAGTCTTCATCCTTTTTTTTTTTTTTAGATGAAGTCTCCCTCTTTTTGCCCGGGTTGGAGTGCAGCGGCACGATCTTGGCTCACTGTAACCTTTGCCTCCCAGGTTCAAGCGATTCTCCTGCCTCAGCCTCCTGAGTAGCTGGGATTACAGGTACGTGCCACCATGCCCAGCTAATTTTTCTATTTTAGTAGAGACAGGGTTTCACCATGATGGCCAGGCTGCATCCTTTTGAATATTGTTTCAAACTATTCCCTCTATTTTCAGCTTTTGTAGCTTCTTTTAGATGTATATTTCAGACTATCAAAATGTCCTCAATGTCTCTATTTTATTTTTAATAATTGTTCTATTGATTTTGCATCCTTTCTATACCTGACAAGACAATGAAATTCTGCTAAAGATTTTCTTTTGCCTTTTTGGACTTCCTAAAATTTACATTTTATTTAAATTACGTAAATAATAAATAATATAATAACATATTTATTTTACAGAAATCTTATGATATATACAATTAAGTCTCCATCAAATTTTTCCTAGCTCTACACTGACCTCTAAAAGTTAAATACCCACTCCAAAGATAATCACTCTTATGTATTCAGCATATATTCTTTCTGATCTATCTGCTGGAATATATGTGTGTGTGTGTGTGTATATATATATATTTATTTATA